>NC_000023.11:34242483-34392839 GCF_000001405.40 Homo sapiens | reverse complement strand
TGAGGCGGGTGGATCACCTGAGGTCAGGGTTCAAGACCAGCCTGGCCAGCATGATGAAACCCCGTCTCTACTAAAAATATAAAAATTAGACAGGCGTGGTGGTGGGCACCTGTAATCCCAGCTACTCGGGAGGGTGAGGCAGGAGAATCACTTGAACCTGGGAAGCGGAGGTTGCGGTGAGCTGAGATCGAGCCACTGCACTCCATCCAGCCTGGGCAACAGAGCAAGACTCCATCTCAAAAAAAAAAAAAAAAAGTAGACCTCTAAGTGATTCTGCCCTCATCCATATTACCAGCCCTACTGGACACTTGTTTTAATCCTTCATTTTAGTTGTTCCTATATGGGCAAGATTTGGCTACTGAAATTGGTATGAGTTATGTAATTTGACATAGTTAATAAATTAATCCATCCAACATAAACTTAGCCCATTATGTCCTAGTAAATAGAGAGACATCATATGTTGCAACAGTGTAAACTCTAAATAATTCATATACTATATGATGGAAACATCACATAAAATTATCAAAACACAATATATTTAGGCTATCAAACATGTATATATGTAGTATTGTGTAAGTACAGACAACTGATTGGCATTGGTTATGTAATGGGAGTTGGGAAACATTTCACAGAGATATTACATTTAAATCTGAATCTTTAAAGATAATTATGGTTTTCTACAGATAGCAAGTGCCAGTTAGGCATATTTTGGTTGAGAGAAACGATATCAGACAGAAGGAACAGACTTGAAAGACCCTGGTTTGTCCTGGGAAACAGTGGCTACAACTTTGGGGCTGAGGTGGAAATGTGAAATGAAACCAAGAAGGAACAACTGACAAAGACAACAAACTGAGTTTTGATTTATTCCTGCATGAAAGAAGACACAAATTAGGACATTTTGTTATTTTTTTAGAACAAGCAGCAGAGTTTTTTTTCCCGCTGTTTAAGCATCCATTTACCATAGTCATAACAGCAGCCTGATTTTCCACAGGGAAAAACTAATAGTTCAATCTTGGGGCAGGTGGTTTCAACGCAGCTGAATTTACAGCAATGGCTCAAGAAATGGACACGTTACCCAGCCATGTCCAATCAGCTGTCTCACAATGCTGGTAATGGTAATTGGTTAAGCATGAGCATGTAACCTAAAGCAGTTAAATTAAGGGTTAAGTGCGAGATGTTAGCTAGAACTATTGAAAATGAGAAATTATGTTCTACTGTAGTTTCTAACCTGGTAGGATATAAACCTAAAGATGCTTCTGGCTATCTTCTTTTTCTGAAATGAGGAATGCCAACATAAAGAGACACAGGAAAACAAATAGAAAGAGAGATAAAGGAGAGAAATTAGGAGAGATGCCTGAAGCTAGATGTGCCTTAGGATTTTTAGATCTGTAAGCCAATGTATTCCATATTTTAAGTGTAAGCTTCTGAAGAATTCCGTCATTAACAAGGAAGGGTCCTAATAGTTGCAACAGGAGAGTGATATGATCAGAACTCATGAAGTAATTTTTAATAAATTTGTCATGTAAAACTTACTTGCTTTTGTCCATTCTATAAAGTTAATATGTTTATATAATTTATATCTGAATTGGGTTTAGTTTGTATGAAAATAATTTTAAAAACCAATAAATTATTCTGCTAATCATTTGTTTAATACATATTTGTTAGGCACCACAATTTAGTATAATTGAGTTGGAAGAAATGAACAAACTCGTTCATTTAATTATAAACTAAACGTGGTCATGACATATAATGTTAATTCCATTAAATAAATTTCCTACTTCTCTGTACCATGCGGTCCTTTCAAAATTTCCGTTTTTGTATTTGTTTCATATTATCATACACTGTATTTTAAAACCTTGGCAAAATAATACTCATTTAATTCTGAAATGAAGAGAAAATATTCTGAAGTAAAGTACCAGAGAACATTTGGTTTATATTAAGAAAGAAAACAGTCCTGGTGGGAAATGAAATGTCTTCGACTAATACCTTAATAAAGAGTGAGATCATGTTATGTGACCAATTAGCCCCCGGTGGGATTTTTAAGATGCCTAAGTTTACCAAAATCTCAAAGAGTGTGAGGAGGTGTGTGTGCTTGTCTGTGCATATATGTGTGGTATGTATGTCTTGAAAAATTAAAACAGATGTTTGGTTAGGTTAATAACCATTAACTTCAGTGTCATCTCTGGCTGCTAGTTATAGTAGACTTAAGTTTTGAAATTTCCTCTGCAATGGGAAATCTCTTCCTCTCAAACTTTGAGGCCCTGCTACATTACACTTCTTGACTATTTTTAAATCTTGTGTTTAATATTTGGTCCCAACCATCACGAATAATGTTCCCAAACATCATTTCAATTCATTGTATTCAGAGACAATACACTGAAGTAATTCAATGTATAGGAAAGAGAGTTGGGTTGAGAATTGAGACGGAAGTTGAAGCCTACCACCAGTAGTTGTTCAATCATTTAATGTTTCTAGACTCTAGTTACATAAACTGTAATGTGAGCAGGTTGAATGTATTTTTCAAAGTTTGATTTAATCAGTGGCTCAGACAAAGGGAATGGGGCAGTGGGAATTGAATTGACCACCATAAAGTCAAGAGAAAAGGTTGAATGGGGCTAGAAGTAGTACCAGCAAATGCTGAGTTCAAAGAGAAGCAAGGGATTCAGTGCCAGCCCCAACTCCAAAGTCAAGCTAGGATGAACTGTCTTCCATTAACTTAAAGCCAGTAAGTTGAAATGGTGTATTGAGGCATAGAAGGGAAGTTAAGAAGATTCAGATCTGAGCCAGTGGGAGGTCACGACAGCCTTGGGAAAAAAAGCCATAAGGCAGTAGCAGATATGTGAGACACTGAGGGTAGCTGCTAAATTAAAATATTTACACTTTGGGTCTCTGAAGCTTGGAACTCTGTTTTCTTGATAAATTATAGTTCATAAGACATTTAAAATGGATAACATCAGTGGATTTTTATTTCACAGTTTCATAGATAAGAGTATAATCAATGAACTTAATGTTTTAAAACACCAAGAAAAACATTTTCATTAAACTTCAGAAAGTGGCTAGTACAGAATATGCGTCAGTAAAAGACAAAACAAAACAACGGATGATGTTACCAGTACTTAGAGCTATAGTTTGCTTTTAAAAAATATTTTTCATATTCAAATTTACAAATGAAAATGATCACATTTACCGTTTTAGGGGTGACAGGAAAAAATAAAGATGTATTATTATTAGCTAAATGTACTCATTGTATGCTCTGTTTCATATAGATAGATAGATATGTCCATGGCCTGGGTGACTGGAAATGTAGTTGTCAGACTTATAATGAACTGGACCATCCTTTGTTTCTGCCCAGCATAGGAGCAACCAGGAAAAAAAATAAAATAGCCAAGCACTCTGCATTGCGAAACATCACCTTAACAGCCACCTAACATTACTCAACTGCTGTAGAACTGTGCAGTACACAAAAGTACATAAGATATTAAATTGCATTGATAAATAATACTTTAAAAAATCAATTCTTTTCACCTGTAATGTTTTCTTACAAATGTGGGTTCAGATTACCATTTAGACCTAACAATAAATAGCACATGGGAATAAATTCATAACAACTTACCTAGGTGTTTAATTTTAAAGAATGAAGGCAATAAAGAGTTAATCACTATACCATTTTGGATTATTCAACATGAAGTGGCTATACACATTTTCTTAAATCAAGAGGCCACAAATTAGGTTAACAATCGGTTTACATTCAAATAAAAAAAGTCAGCACTTTAATGAAAATGAATTTTTATTTTTTCTGTGACGGTGGAGTCTTTGCTCTGTCGCCCAGGCTGGAGTGCAGTGGCACGATCTCGGCTCACTGCAAGCTCCGCCTCCCGGATTCACGCCATTCTCCCGCCTCAGCCTCCCGAGTAGCTGGGACAACAGGCGTCCACCACCACGCTTGGCTAATTTTTTGTATTTTTAGTAGAGACGGGGTTTCAACGTGTTAGCTAAGATGGTCTCGATCTCCTGACCTAGTGATCCACCCGCCTCGGCCTCCCAAAGTGCTGGGATTACAGGCGTGAGTCCCCCCACCTGGCCAAAAATGCAATTTTACTTCAAATATCCAAACCAATGATCAGAACTGAAGTATTTCACCTCACCAATTTACAAGATATTCAAATATTATTACTCAAATAAAAGCAACAAAATGCCACATAAAATGAAATGTATCACCTGAGGCAAGGCTTAAAACAAGTAAAAGGTTATACATTTTACAAAACAAACTATGCAATTGTTAGTGGCTTGTTCCAAGGACTCATCAATCAACTAAGTATACTCCCCTACCCAGTCCTCAGATTGCTTGCTGATGAATGATTAATCTAATGGTTAATGATACCACTCCTTCCTATTCACGATGCTTGGAGGCATTCTTGGATAGCCATCTAGACTTGCATTCCTTCTTGTATCCTGGTGGGAGGCTTCTGGACCAGGAGCTGGACCCAGTCAGCAAACAAGATCCAGACACTGAAGAGGAATTGAATTTGGATTTTCGGGTAGATCCAGATCCAGAGGTTGATGGAGAGTGAGTGCAAGAGCGGCTGCAAGAGCGAGTGCCCGAGCGCGTGCGTGAGCGAGAGAACTTCGACTTGGAGTGAGGGGACCTCGACTCTAGTGAGAGGACTTCGACTTCGAGCTGCTGAAGGGAGATCTGCCGCTGGGATCCAGATCGGCCCCTGCTACAGGAACGGCTGGGATGACGACGCCTTCGGCTGAGCCTCTGGCGTTTGTAGTTGTCTCCCTCATACCTGCTAGAAGACGTTACCCGGCGGAAGTTACGGTAGAAACGTGGGGGATGACCATGGCGTGCCACCTGCACACAAAGCTCTTGGCCATCAGCATGATCCCGTCGAGAGCGTCCATGGCATCCTCGACCTGGTGCTTGAAGTGGAAGAGGATGAAGGTGAAGCGGCGGGACTGTCTAGTGATGCGATCCCAGGGGATGTACACGTCGCCCATGCTCCCATACTTCTTGAACACAGCTCGCAGGGTGTTGGCCGACGTGCGGTTGGTCAGGTTGTCCACCTTGAGGGAAGTCATGCCTTCGACATTGGGAGGAAGGCGACTGTAACTCATGGTCTTTTAAGCTTGGTCTGAAGCCTCTCAAAATGAGCGCCCAAGCGGTAATGACCCCAGAAGAGTGATGCGGGTAACCTAGGCTGCAAAGGTTTCCGAGAGTTGGCTCCACCTCTTTCTCAGTTGCTCAAGGAGCTCTTGGGTAGAGACTCTAGAATGTTCCAAGGAGTACCATCCATCTCCAGAGCTGAGATGGGGTTTAGAAACAGAGAAACAACTCCATACCACTTTTTTTTGGAAATGAGTGTTCATGACCATAATGCAATTATTCTGTGACTTTTTCAGTATAAATCCAAATTTCCAGTTTTACGTATTCATATAAGTATATAAATATATAGATATAATTGCAATGCTGATTAACAGAGGTCATAAACATTTGTCTTATTTAGAGACCAAATTTAAAAAATAACACAAATAAATTACGAGCAGGAAAGGGTGATTCAATAATACTGTACTAACAAGGAAAGAGATTGAGAGCCACCTGTAGGGTATGAACCATAATGAAAAACCCAGTATGATTTTTCTTTGGTGTAGGCTGCTTGAAAAAATAAATGAGTCAAGGGTGTCATGATGTATGCTTCCAAATTTTATAACTGAATATAATCCATATTATTAAAATGTACTTCTTCCTTATTAATTGACCTAATACACTATCTCATGGAGTAAGTCCATTTCATGTGGCTTTCATTTTTAAAAAATGTTTTTACCATAAAATCAGCAAAGAAAATGGCAAGTAGGTGAGGTGATGGATATGTTAATTAGATTGTGGAGATTAGTTCACAATGTATATCAAAACATCAAATACATCTAAATATATACAATTTTTATTTGTCAATTATACTTCAGTGAAGCTGGAAAAATACGAAAACAATTTTAGAGTTAATAATTATATTTCATCAAAGTGTTGACATCAGTTCTTATGAATTGTGTTCATTGCATTCCAATAAATGAGTTTCACAATGATTGGGAGAAAGAGAAAATAATATTTCATTAAATATTTCTCACCTTCAATGAACGTTGTCCACTTTTTGTAAGCCACAAAATATTTTGCATATTATTAATGCATATACTATATTTGTGCTCTAGTTATCCTTTGTTGCATAACGGCTTACATCAAAACATAATGGCTGAAACCAAAAATGTATCATTATTTCACTTCAAAATTCTAAGGCTCAGGAATTCAGAGAGGGGGCAGTAAGGCTTGCTTTTGCTCCATTATAGCAGATGAATTAGCTGAGGTGGCTCTAATGGTTCAGTCTGGACCAACAGGGTGTTGGCTCGTCTGTGCCTCCCCATGGTCTTTTTCCACAGTCTCTCGACTGGCTAGCCTGGCAGCCGCTGGGTAATCAGAGTTCTTACATAGCAGCTCAGGTTTATATGAGACCATAGTAGAAGCACCAGTCTTCTTAAATTATAGATCTAGACCAGCATATAGCATCACTTTTGCAGTATTCCATTGGTCAAAGCAACTGTAGGCCAGAGTATGTTCCAAGGGAGGGAAAAGAAAATCTCTCAAAGATAGGAGCCCAAACGATGTGCGGTCATTTTTAATCCACCACAGTCATCCCTCTGGACAGAAAATATTTACATCCTATTCAAGTGAAAAAAATGCACTCACCCTTTTCCAAGACTGCCAAAGTCTTATCCTCTTATGGCAATAACATGAACATCCAGGACCTTGTCATCTTAATCAGGTCCAGGTACAGAAGAGACTCCTCAGATGCTGTTCTTTGAGCTCTATTCCTTTCAATCAGAATACAAGTCATCTGCCCTCATCACTTCTGGCCTAACACTATTGAGATAGGATAGGATAGCCTTAATAGACAATTCTATTTAAAAGGAGGAATAGTCCACATCAATTCTAAAATTCAACTAAGCATGTTTCCAGATCCTTGGTTAGGGCCCAGTGCTATTGCTGAAACACCAGTTGGTCCTCTGGGATCTTAGTTGAGCCTTCTGAGCCATCCTATATTTCTCAAAATAAATGGCCCATGTTTGTATCTGAATAGCTTTCTTGGTGCGCTTCCTGTGTGCAGAAGGTTGAGAGTACCAAAGATTATTCTCATTCTGAACAGTTCTTGTTCCTTTTGGTCCAAGCTCATGGTGCTTCTAATAGTACAAATTCATTATTAATTAAATTCTATTTATTTCTCTCTTTCTTTCTCTCTCTTCCTCCCTCCCTTCCTCTCCCCCTGCCCCATCCCCCACCCCTTGCTTATGATTCTTATCGGGTGGTCACTCCATTAGACAAAAGCCACATCTTCCTTTCTTTCCAAGACAGGTCTTTATTTATCTTGGACCACCTATGAGCATGATGCCAGACCACATTTTTAAGATTCTTAGAAGTTCTGCTGCCTAGCAAAGAGGGTTTGTGAGAGATGCTCCGAAGGTGCTTCTGAGGTCCTAAGAAAAAAATTTATAGCTACACCCTTTACTTCATTTTTATCCTGAGACCACATTTTACTGTCCAGATTTTTGTTCATTGCTCTGAAGGGCATTGTTTAACTTTGAACTTTATCTTGGCTGAAAAGACTGTCCCGGGCACTTTATATTTTAATTACATCCTGTTTTAAAACAGAGTAGTCCTTCTTTAGTTTATCTTTATCTTCTCAATATATATATTATCATTGGCTGTTAGAAGAAGCCAGTTGAATTTTGTTTTACTCTTTCTAGAGATCTTAGTTGTCCATTTCTTCATGTAATCTTTTACTTTCTTTCAGTTCCTTCAAATTTTAACAGAATTATTTCATGACCCACTAAAGGACGTAATTTTTTTTAGTTGTCCAAGTTTCTTTATCACTTTCTCAATGAAAAGGATTTTACCTCTCAATTACATGCATTCCCTTAAGATAAACTATTCCAAATTATGTGAATTTATGGATTTTTCCCCAAATAAAAAGTAACAACATACTTGTCAGCAATGTTATAAAAATTATATGGACTTCTATTCATTTAAAGGATTCTATGCCTTCGTATAAATTAGCTTTAGGATAACATGTCACATATTATTCATGAAAATCAGGTTTAATTTATGTCAGAGAGGAGAGACTACTGGGTCAGCTTTTGGGGACTGAAATCCCTATCCTGGCTCCAGCACAGATATACAGATCAAATACTGGGCTCCAATTTTAGTGTCTTTTAAATTAGGATGTTGCACTAGTTGATGTTCATGTTTTATTCCAACTCTAAACACTACTACTTACATACGATTATTGAAATGTTTATTTTTTAAAACTTTGACAAAAAATCAAATGTATTGAAACTAATATTATAATTAAATAGTAAAAGTTCTTTTCAAAATGATAATTTGCCGGCATCTCTGTGTTAGATTCAATTCTCCGGCAACAATTTACTCAAATTGACCATCACTGTATGATTTGGATCAAGTAAAGAATCATTTTATAAACTTCAGAGGTTTATTATCTAGGGGACATATCCCCGATTTGGAAGTGAGGAAAT
This sequence comes from Homo sapiens, assembly GCF_000001405.40. Lineage (NCBI taxonomy): Eukaryota > Metazoa > Chordata > Mammalia > Primates > Hominidae > Homo > Homo sapiens. The sequence goes on along the minus strand of NC_000023.11, from coordinate 34,384,262 downwards.
GTTCCTGTTTCCACACTTCCAAAAATGCCCCTGTTTTACTTTATCCTTTCACTTTTTATGATTTGGGATATTAACAAATCCTTAAATGTTAAGCCCATTAGTAATAAAGAGCATCCTGTATTTTATGAGGTAATTTGAGAACTGGCTAAGTATAGAACTAACTTACTTGAAACTTGCAACTCAAATAATGTGAAGTCTTATGGAAGCTTCTCCCTAAGAATTTTCTTCTGCTTGCTCAATATTGCTCTTTATCTTCAAAAAATATTTGTAGTCTTATTGCTAAGTGTACAGAACCCTTCTAGAGACCATATATTTCTCATTTTATCTAATACATGAAATAATTGAAATGAATTGGTTAAATATACTTTGTGGCTACTTTAGAATCTCTTTACATGAAATGAAGCAGTGGAAACCTCAGCCATCAGAAGAATACTGTACTGTACATTTTAGGTGGGAAAACTAGAGAGTAATTAGAGCAATGGGAAGATAGGGAAGTAAAACAGTATTGTAAGATTTAAATTATAAAACTAACATATTGACTCAGAGTAGAAATACATGATTTTGCAAATTTAGGATGTAGACATGACCCCAAAATCTTGTCCATTTACTGATTAAATGAATTAACATATGAAAAAGCCATGATTTTTCAGTCATTGAGCATCTGCTACAAGCCACACCTGTGTCAAGCAATTGAATACGATCATAAACAAAACAGATATTGTTCTTTTCCTCCTTGAACTGACAGCAATTAAAATAATTGCTTGATAAGAGAAACAAAAGAATATTCTCCAAAGAGTATATAAATATAAAACATAATGATTTGTCACAGAAGCATAAAAAAGGAGAAGTTAGAGACAAATATTTTATACATGCCTTCATCTTTATCATGTGAACAAGGAATGTGAGCGTAAGGGTGGAAATATCTGTGCCTTGGAGATATAGATATACTAGCCACTAAGATGTTTCAGATAACTGCTTTGTTCCAATTCCATGTCATCAAATAATGTTACATTTGTACTGTGGCTTCCAAAGTAGGTATGTCTCCTGGAAGAAAATATACTGAATAATATATACAAGTAGCAATTCTATTTGAAAGTAATATTTACAAATATAACTCAATAAATTCATTTTTTTCGAGTTTCAACTCAAAATTTCTTATTACCTAAGGACTGTGAGCCAGAACTCCAAAAGTAATAACTTCTGAGTTTAGAAACTAATAAATAATATAGCTTAAAATCCCAAAATATAATCCTGGAGCCTGGTGACTTCCTCAAAGTTTTTTCACCTCCTAGTTCTTTGCGGGAGGCCTGTCAGCCTTGCCCAGTCAAAACTTCCTTATTGTCTTGACATCCTCAAACTGCAACACTCAGCATACACTGGTGGAAAACATTATCTTGGGACAAGACTGTGAGGTACTTGAGCTCAGGATCTTCAGTTGTGAAAAAAAAAATGTATGCCTCTCACTGAGTAGGCTTCTGGTGAAATCCTGGAGAAAAATATCTAAGAGAGACCCCATGGGAAAAGTTCAAGACACAAGTCCAATCATTCTATGGCTACAAGGAAGTTGGATTTCTATCCTCAGCTGACCCACGCAGTGCTTTCCCTGTTATGGTTAGTGAATCACTGATCTTGGGAGATGACCCAAGAACAATAGGATTTGTGTTCAGATATGTTTGCTATGTGCTGCATATACATATTTATTTTTAGCAACTAACAGACAATGTTAGCATATTAAAAACTGAAAGATAGAAAGCAGAAATATTTGTTAACATTTGTGGCAACAGTATTTCGTAAAAGTATTTCACCAAAGAACACCCTTCCCCTTCTCCCACCACAAAACACACACACACACACACACACACACACACACACACACACACACACAGTCATACAAAGAATAATAATCCAATATGTTGAAATACTCTTTCCTCTATATGCACGTGGAGAAAAATCCAACTATATATATATTTTTTTGAAACACATAATAAACTTTTTTTTGTTTGGTATTTGTTTCTTGCATATCAGTCAGGGTCCTGACAGGAAACAGAATTCATTCCAAATATTTAAATTGAATAAACTTTAATGAAGGTACTATTAAAGAGATGTGTACGGCCGGGCACGGTGGCTCACGCCTGTAATCCCAGCACTTTGGGAGGCCGAGGCGGGAAGATCACGAGGTCAGGAGATCGAGACCATCCTGGCTAACACAGTGAAACCCCGTCTCCACTAAAACTACAAAAAATTAGTTGGGCGCAGTGGCGGGCGCCTGTAGCCCTAGCTACTCAGGAGGCTGAGGCAGGAGAATGGCCTGAACCCGGGAGACGGAGTTTGCAGTGAGCTGAGATCGCGGCACTGCACTCCAGCCTGGGCGGTAGAGCTAGACTCCGCCTCAAAAAAAAAAAAAAAGAAAGAAAGAGATGTGTACAGGTAAAGGCAAAAAACAAAGAATTGTTGTTATTCAGAGAGGAGCAACAGGAAGAAGCTTTTACCACCTCTAGAGCTGAATGGCAAGAATTGGAAAAACTGTTACCAAAAAGGTGAGAACTAGCACCTTGGAAGTGGTCCCGCCCCATGGGAGAGCTAGTCTTGGAGGTTAAACAATTGCCTAAGATGTGGCTCCGGAGTACAGAAGTAGAGAGATATCCCCCAACCTTTCTTCTCCTCACTGATAGCCATTAATGTTCTTCTTTGGCTGAACTCAAATAGAAACCAACAAGGGATCCTGGAATTTTGAATAGGACAACCTTCCAAAGCAACAGTGTAGATACCAGCAGAAAATGAAGCTGAATGTATGAGCAAACAGAGAATGACTAGCACATCATGCATGTTAGTCCTTCCTCCGTAAGATTATGAGAACCCTGAGTCAGGCACTGTATCTTACACTAACATACTCACCATAAGAGGCCACAAGTAACTTTTTGTGTTTGCCTGCTTTATAATTTAAAATAAGTGTTTCATTTTGCAAGAGGGACCTTTCAGAATCTTTTTGCTATTGTTTTGTTTTTGCCTCGGAGTCTACCTTCTAAGTCAACTGTGTTTGTGGCTTTATTTTAAAGTTATTGAGTGAAGAAAAATTTTACATCAAATCTGATTAGTGGTATTGTAATAATGGAATCTTGAGTTCCCTCTCCAGTCCTTTGTGAATCCTCTTGATTCTATTCAGGCTTTTACTTTCCAAGTTAATCCTTATGTTACAATGAAGACCTAGGCTTTATATCAGTGACTCATTTTGGTCAATAAGATAATTGCTTAATTATCAGGGTCTACTCTATGGCCAGGGTTGATTTTAGTCTCATGTATCTTAATTTTGGACTACAGTTTATGACTTCCATTTATCTTCATCCTTCTAGAACCTTACTGGAAAGAAATATAGATCTTATCCATTGAGACAGAAAATGGGTTGGATTTGATATTCCTTATGCTGCCCCAGTCCTCTTTTCATGAGATAACAGATACAAAGCAGAAACTTGAGTCCGAATTTATTAATAGTTCATAGTGTGATTAGAATCACATGCAACTGACATTTGCATTCTTAGGCCTGATTTGGCAATCAGTGACGTGATTATGGGAGAAGTACCTTACTTCTCTATATATCAGATGCTGCATCAATAAAATATGAAAATTGAACTGCTTTATATCTAATATTACTTTCAGCTTCCAATATGCTTAGCCAGGAAGTGAATTGAAAGTTACTGAAGGCTTTTTCTTCCAGTCAATACCTTATAATATCAACAATGGAAATAAAAGAGAAAGTGACATTGCATTATAAAATAATTTTTATTTCCAGGGAAAAGGTTGTTGAATTATTTTCTGTTAAAGCCTTGTTCTGTTACTCACTTTACAAATAAATAAACATAGCCTGAGCAACATAGGGAAAGAAACCCTGTATCTACAATTTTTTTTTTTTTAATAAATTAGCTGGGTGTGGTGGCATGCACTTTTAGTCCTAGGTACCTGGAAGGCTGAGGCAGAAGGATCCCTTGAGCCGAGGAATTCAAGGTTACCGTGGGCTATGATCACACTAGTACACTCCAGCCTAGATGACAGAGCAACACTCCCTCTCTAAGAAAACAAACAAACAAATAAAGTAAAAATGCTGACAACAGAAGTTGCTAAACTTGTGGTTTTCCCTTTTCCTGACATGGAAAGTAATTACTTAAGTTTCGTTCATGATTTCAGGTCAGCTGAACCAAATCAATGCATTTCCTCTTTCAGTTAAATACCAACATTTTATCACAGTGACTGTGATGATTACAGTGTCTTACGTTTGGCTCAGGCTTTCATTGTAAATGATGGTGTAAATATCCACCAACAGTTCAGGAATAATGAAGGTGGAGCCAGTAGCCCCTTTGTGCTGGTTGGCATCAAAGGATCTTAAAAATAGATAAAGTGGTGCTGTCCGGAAAAATGGTCAACAAGAAAGGGAAGATAATTGAAAGAAATGAATGATGACAGAACTTAATGAAAACAGTTGGATTCTTGCTTTCAAGAATCCAGTTGACTCATTTTTTAAAAACTACTTGGTAGTAAAAGAAAGACAATTCCTAGCCCATTATTTTCAAATGTTATATATTTTAACAAACAGTTATAATTTTGTTATATATATATATAAAGTTTATTAAACAGTTAAATTATATTTTCCTGATCACTTGGAACTATTAAGCTTGTTTATATAAGTTTATATATACAAGTATATATATATGTATAAGCTTATATATGTGTGTGTATATATATGCTTTGTATACATATATGCTTTATATACATATATATGTATAAGCTTATCTATATATTAAGTTTGTTATATATATTATAACAAACAGTTAAATTATATTTTCCTGATCACCTGGAACTATTAAGCTTGTATTTAAAAGACTTTAAACAAATGTTCTTAATCTTTTCAATAAGTATCTCTCATTTAAACGATCTTACTTAGTCATTGAATATTTTATGCATTTCAAAAACAATAATAAGTCATAGCCAGCACAGACATTTGAAACTGACCATAATCAACTGACAGATAATTTAGTCTAGAGGCTAATTTTAAGATCATTTTTGCTTTCTTCATCTGCTCATTTTCATTGAGAAACTTTCTAAGGTCTAAGGGGCATGCCTCCCTAGAATCTTTTTATTCTTTCCAAAATTTGTATTCATTGCTTTATGTTCTTGGAGAACTTATTATTAGAACCAACCTCTCCCTTGGGGATAGAGAATAACACGTTAGTTATACTGAAAGGGCTAAGCCTTTTCTTACTACATGAGTTTGATCATTCTCAAACTCCATGGGCTTAGTTTTCTCAATCACTCCATTGAAGGATGAATGTGAGACTGAACAATGCTGAAGGACCCTGGAGTCTACTTTCTTAAGAAAGCAACAAAAAGATTCAAGAGAAGTAAGACATGAGAGGAAGAGAGTTTGGTGAAGAATGAGGATAGAGAAAAAAGAAAAATGAGGCAATTTTAATTTACCCATTTTTATTTCTTTAATTGAAGAATCTGACAGTGATTCCATTAGAAGGCAATGACTTCTCTTTATCCGTTTCTGCAGATAGTAACTCACAGAGTGTTATGTTAACAAGAGCCTCCTGAATATTTTATTAAAATGAACATGGAGGCATGCTAGTTTCATGTTCTCAAAAGTTTCATATTCTAACTAAATTTTAAAGCAAATATGTGTGATATAAATATACTGCTCTCATTTTAAAACTCATACTTTAGGGCTAATATAATGTTTGAGCTACCAGTTAGTTTATATCTCTTGGATTATGTTGAAGAAAAATTTATTCATGACACTTGTTAAAGACGCTAAGGCAGACTTTATTCAGGGAAACTACAGCAATGTTTTTTGTTTGTTTGTTTGTTTTGTTTTGTTTATTTGTAGGGGAGAGATATTGGGCTCAACTTTCAATACAGGTACACAAAGGGGAATGGGAATTTATAACCAAAGAGCATAGTGGAGGTGAGCGAATGGGAAACTAATAAGAGAAAATATCTATGATAAGGGGAATTCTGGGTAAACCAACTTTACATGAGTTTTATTTTATTTTATCTTATTTTTTTGAGACAGAGTCTTGCTGTGTCACCCAGGCTAGAGTGCAGTGGTGCCTATTATAGCTCATTACACCCTCAAACTCCTGGGCTCAGGTGATCATCCCACCTCAGCCTCCTGAACAGCTGGGACGGCACACCACCATGTCCAGCTAATTTTTTATTTTTTGTAGAGATGAGGTCTTGCTATATTGCCCAGGCTGGTGTTGAACTCTTGGCCTCATGAGATCCTCCCACCTCAGGCTTTCAAAGTGCTGGGATTACAGGCATGAACCACTGCACCCTACAGGAGTATTATTGAAGGCCGGCAAGAGTGAGAAGATATAGAGGGCATGAGATAAGAGATTTGATAAGCTATCAAAGGTGGTCAGATACCAGGGGTCAGGGATCAGATGTCAAGGGCAAGAGAGTTTTGCTAATCTGACCCAGCAGGATTCTTGCTGTTGGAGGAAATGGGCCAAGCACAGAACCCAAGGGCAGGGATTAGTCAGAAAGAGGACTCAGAGGAGCCTGACTTTTGTTCAAAGGATAGTCTGTGCCAATTACTAAATTTAATAACATATATATCACTGGGTTCTACAAGAGGACAGGCACTCTCAACCCTAGTAACAGGTTTCTCAAACTTTAAGGTGCTTTAAAATCAACCAGGGAACTTGTTAAAATGAAGATTCTGATTCAGTAGGTTTTAGTAGGCCCTTTATTCTGTATTTCTAACATGCTTCCATGTGAGGTTAATAAGACGCACTTAGAAACATGCTTTGTGTAGCAAAAGGTTATTACCTAGAATTTGGAGTCAGGCAGATCAGAATTTGAATCAAGTCTTTTCATCTATTGTCATTTTACTTTGATGAATTCAAGTTTCTATGAGTCAGTTTCTTAATCTGTAAAACTAAAATAAAAATACCTCTCTGATGGCATTTTTGTGGCCATTAAATAAAACACTATTAAATACTGTACTAAATGAAATACTGAAAACATGTATTTACGTAATTATAGTGACTACTGCGTGGTAAGTTCTTTTTTAAAGGCAGTTGCTTTTATTTGTAGGTAAAATAACATATTTATCATAGCTTTCTGTTTACATCTTAGGATGCTAGAAAATCTGGAGAGTTAATTTTTTTTCTTCTGACAGGATTTCAGACTTCATAATGTATTGATTTTCATTCTGTTATCTAAAGAAAGGACTATAGGACACAGGAAGGGGAACATCACACTCTGGGGCCTGTTGTGGGAGGGGGGAGCGGGGAGGGATAGCATTGGGAGATATACCTAATGCTAGATGATGAGTTAGTGGGTGCAGCGCACCAGCACGGCACATGTATACATATGTAACTAACCTGCACATTGTGCACATGTACCCTAAAACTTAAAGTATAATAATAATAAAAAAAGAAAGGACTATAGAAGTACTAGAAAGGAATAGAATTTTCTTACAAAATGGATGAGTGCCCTTCAAGCACTCAGCTCTCAGAAAATGGTTGGCTTTCATCCTATCAAATGACATTAAACTTGTCAGATCAAACCAAGTGCATTGACATTACAAAGACAGAAACAAATTGTGACACCAAGAAGGTATAAGTGGGCTTTTTAAAAATAAGAACAATGCTACAAAAACCTAGAGGTTTCATCATGAGTGAAATAATCTTATATTCAGAATGGAGAATCTAGAGAGTGTTCATTATTTTCTAAAACAATATGCCCAGATATCCATACTGCTTTTATTTCTATTTGTCTTTTCAAACCTCATAGCTCCTCCTGTATTTAAATGAGACTGGAATTTTCCCATCTGCCTGTGCTGTATTTCCCTATAAGATCCATATACTCTGCACATGAGAGAATTCCACTGTACACATTTTTAAGTTGTCAAGTTCAAATGAAAATATTTTATAGTTCCTTGCAAGTCTCAGGAGAGCACTGGGAAATAATTTTCTCAAGTACAGTGCCAATATTTATTCAAAATAGAGTAGGTATTTATGATTTCTCTCTGGCTCTTTTTAAATATGATGTTTTCAGTTATACAAACTACTATGTCAAGTAATTTTATTTATTTTTTAAGTTTTAAATTTTTAATTGTTGTGGGTACATAGTAGATGTATATATTTATGGGGTACATGATTTGTTTTCATATATCATGCAATATGAAATAAGCACATCATGGAGAATGGGGTATCCATCCCTTCAACCGTTTATCCTTTGAGTTACAAAGTATCCAATTATACTCTTCAAGTTAATTAAAAATATACAATAAATAATTGTTGACTGTACTCACCCTTTTTTGCTATCAAATACCAGCTCTTATTCATTCTACCTAACTATATTTTTGAATTCATTAACCATTCGCAACCCTCCTATCCCCCCACTACCCTTCCCAGCCTCTGGTTACCATCCTCCTACTCTCTATGCCCATGAATTTAATTGATTTGATTTTTAGATCCTGTAAATAAGTGAGAACATGCAAAGTTTGTCTTTCTGTGCATGTATTATTTCACTTAACGTAATGATCTCCAGTTCCATCCACGTTGGTGCAAATGACTGGATCTCATTCTTTTTATGGCTGAATAGTAATCCACTGCATATATGTACCACATTTTCTTTTTCCATTCATCTGTTGATGGACACTTAGGTTGCTTCCAAATCTTAGCCATTGTGAACAGTGCTACAACAAATGTAGGAGTGCAGCTCTCTTCAATATACTGATTTCCTTTCTTTTGGGAATATACTCAGCAGTGAGATTGCTGGGTCATATCATAGCTTAAATTTTAGTTTTTCAAGAAACCTCCAAAATATTTTCTATAGTGGTTGTACTAATTTACATTCCTATCAACAGTGTATGAGGGCTTCCTTTTCTCCATATTCTCTCCAGCATTTGTTATTGCCTGTCTTTTGAATATGTCTTTTTAATTAGGGTGTGATGATATCTAATTGTAGTTTTGATTTGTATGATAATCAGTGATGTTGAGCACCTTTTCATATGCTTGTTTGCCATCTGTACGTCTTCTTTGGAGAAACACATTTTAAAAACTTTTGCCTGTTTTTAATTGGATTATTAATTATTTTCTCATAGAGTTGTTTGAACTCCTTATATATTCTGGTTATTGATCCCTTGTCAGATGGGTAGTTTGCAAATATTTTCGTCCACTCTGTGGGTTGTCTCTTCACTTAGTTGATTGTTTCCTTTGCTGTGCAAAGGCCTTTTAACTTAATGTGATCCCATTTGTTCATTTTTGCTTTTTTTGCCTGTGCTCCTGGGGTATTGCTCAAAAAATCTTTGCCCAGACCAATGCCCTGGAGATTTTCCCCAAGATTTTATTATAGTAGTCTCATAGTTTGAAATCTTATGTTTAAATATTTCGTCCATTTTGATTTGATTTTTGTCTATGGTGAGAAATATGGGTCTAGTTTCATTCTTCTGCATATGGATATCTAGTTTTATCAACACACCATTTATTGAAAAGACTTTTTCCTAGTGTATGTTCCTGGCACCTTTGTCAAAAATAAGTTGATTTTAGGTGTGTGGATTTGTTTCTGGGTTCTCTATTCTGTTCCATTGGTCTATGTTTCTGTTTTTATGCCAGTACCATGCTGTTTTGTTTACTGTAGTTCCTTAGTATAATTTGAAGTCAGGTAATGTAATGCCTCCAGTTTTGTACTTTGTGCTCAGGGTATCTTTGGCTATTCTGGATCCTTGGGGGTTCCAGATAAATTTTAAGATTGTTTTTAGTGTTTCTGTAAAACATATCATTGGTATTCTGATAGAGATTGCATTGAATCTGTAGATTGCTTTGGGCAGTATGGACATTTTAACAATACTGATTCTTCCAACCCACGAACATGGAATATTTCTCCATATTTTGATGTCCCCTTCAATTTGTTTCATCAGCGTTTTACAGTTTTCATTATTAAGATATTTCACTTCTTTGGTTAATTTCTAGGTATTTAATTTTACATGTGGCTATTGTAAATAAAATTACTTTTTAAATTTCTTTTTCACATTGTTCACTGTTGTCATATAGAAATGCTATTGATTTTTGTATGTTGATTTTGTATGCTGCAACTTTACTGACCAAGTGGAAGGATGGGGTTTCTTTTGGAGCCATGAGCTGTGTAGCCTGGGTTTAGGTGAGAGGCGATGATGTCAGCACTCCCTTGGCTGCCCCAGTTGGTGTCTCAGTATGTTGTGTGTTCCCCCAGGCCACTCTTTCTGGGCCTAATTCAGCCCTAGGACTTGCCTAAGATTTGCAGTCCTTATGGCCTAGACTGCCTTTCAAGTTTACTTGGAGACACAGACTGTTGTAGCCCTTGGTGGTAAGGTTTGCAGGCACTCAAGTTCAGATTGCTCGGATGGACAATTCCTCTTTGGCTAGGATGAGTTTAAATGCTCCCTTCATGAGTGAGCATCAGCTGAGTTTTGTCCGGGTTTCCTTTCTGCTCTAAAAGGACAGCATTGGGTTCAATGCCTCACAAGTGTTGTGCTCTGCCTCCCACAGCGCCCAGAGACGCTCTTAGTACCGCACAGCTGCTCTCAGGGGTTGGGGAGGAGAGGCATCCATGATTCATGGCTGTTTTTCTATCTCTTCAGTGCCTCTTTTAGTATATGAAGTTAGAATCAGGTACTATGAGGGCTGTCCTGATTTTTGGTTCTAATGAAGGTGTTGTTTCTGTGTAGACAGCTGCTAACTTCATGTCTTTGCTGGGTGGTCAATCAGTGAAGCTTTCTATTCTGCCACCTTGCTGTGCCTCTTCCCATTTGCCTGTTTTTATTAACCTATTTGGAAGCTATTGACATAGAGTTCACAGTCTACTTCCCTAAAATTATTTCACTATCCACTTCTCCAATGGCATGTGTAATTTATTATGCAAAACACCACAAGAAAAAAACAATAAAGACCCAGTTTCATTCTCTAAGACTTACAATCATATGTGAGAGAGTTATGCTATGGAAAGAGCACATTACCTTAGCCTCGATTTTCATTCTGTCACTAATTACTCATATGGTCTCTGGACATGGTGGTTATCTTCAGGCAGGGATTACAGTTACCTCACTTATGTAATAAGGGGAATTGACGGGACTAGTGTTTCTCAAATTCGAGTGGTTATAAACTTATCTGGGACATTGCTAAATGTACGTATGTCCAGACTCTTCCTCTGATGAAGTAGAATTGAGGCAGCATCCAGGAATCTATATTCAGGTCTTGTGTAGATGGAGGCTGGGATTCGAGTTATGCTATCACAAGCGAATGGATGCCAAGGATTTCCTGCAACTACTAGGAGCTAAGATAGGTTCATGGGACATTTTCTCCCATTAAGCACCCTCCCAGATGATTATTTTCATCAAGCAAGTTAGGGATACTTGGAGACATACTACTAAGTTTGTTCTATAAAGAATGTTCTGTGATTTTATGATTTCAAAAATACCTAAAATTCAATGAGATGTCTAGTATTATATCAATAATATGCTAAAATTATTGGGGTTTATTAAAGAAGAGATTAATTTATCTTAGATGATGAGGGAAGTGTGTAAACTTTAAAAGAGATATGATGTTGATACATAGAAAATGAAGAGATTATAGCAAGTGAAGGTACGGAATGAGTAAGATAAAGAATAATAAAAGTAAATGCAAAGTAAGTTTGGCAATACACACTTTGTTTCTTAAGTGTGCATGGATTATTTAATGGAATAGTGCAAGGTAAAGATGAAAAGATAGATTAATTTACACCAAGAGGAAGCTTGAATTGTGGCTAAGATGTAAGGACTTCATGTGTATACAAATGCAATCCAATAAAAGGTTTTGAGTACAAATATTTAAGAGAAATCTTTATATTAGATGAGGAACTTATTGGTAGTAGAAAAAATAAAGATAGAACAGGGATACCACTAATAATATTTTTGATGATTAAGGTATGAAATAGGTCATTAGCATGTATACTGGCAAAAACTGGCACATAATCTCAAGACATATCTTTTTTGTCTTCTTTCCTGACTCTTTGAACTAGCAGAAAACAGCCTTAGAAACTGCAGCAGAATAAAGTCAACAGTATCTATGGCTTAAGAGCAGTAAATCATTTAACAGGTAGTTTTTATCCCCACTCTCAAATTAGCTCTGACTAGGAATTCTTCCTCATTTGTCTGCTTTTCCCCAAATATCTTGGCCTATTACATTTTTCAGGAAGTGCTTTGATGTGCAGACCACAATCACTGCCAGACCTTCCCATGACTTTTGGCTCTCATATCAGTCCTGAAAGGTCTCTGGAAGGTATGAATAGGACCATTTATGGACTGTCATTAAGTAATACCAGTCATGAGTCACCTTGAACTTGGCTATCCCAAAGAATCAGTAGTGACAGAAAAGGAAATACTGGGAAGAAGGCCAAATGAATTTATAGTATAATCATCATTCTAGAATACTCTTCGTTAAGGGTGATATTTACTTATTCTGCCTATTGCAGGTTTCAGGATTTTGTAAAATATGTGGGAACCACTCACTAATTTTGCTACTGAGTTGATAAGGTAATTTTGAAGTAAAATTAATCTTGGTATCTGTATTAATTTCCCAGTGCTACCATAAGAAATTACTAGAAACTTTGTGGCTTTGAACAACAATATATTCACTTACAATTTAGAAGACCAGATGCCTAAAATCAAGGTGTTGGCAAGTTTGGTTTTGTCTAGAAGCTCAGAGAAACTGTCCCATGCACCTATCCTAGCTTCTAGTAGGTGCTGGAAATTCTTGGCATCCCTTAGCTAGTGATAGTATAACTTGAATCCCAGTCTCCATTTTCACAAGACCTTGTTCCTGTGTCTCTGTCTCCTCTGTGTTTGCATGCCTTTCTATGCCCAAATCTCCTTTTTTACTCTCTCTCTTATAAGGCACCAGTTATCAGATTTAGTGCTCATCCTAAATCCTGGATGATTTTAACCTCAAGACTTTAACTAATTACGTCTGCAAAGACCCTATTTCCAAATGAGATCACATTCCAAAGTTCTGTGTTGACGTGGATTTTGGGGCGACACTCTTCAGCCCACTACAGTATCTGTCTATATCTGTTGTTTTCAAAACTTTTTTTCTTGATAATAACTTTCAAAGAATTCTAAGGTGTAAAATTTGCAAATATAAAGTTGATATTAGTCCTGGAAACCCTAAATGATGGGCCTTGTCCTGACTTCTCATCATTGTTTCTGAAGTACCACTATAAAACTTAAGGACAACATAGAGAGAAATTTGAAAATCAATGAATTGTAACAATGCCTAGAAGTATTGTTTACTCAAAAATTACTGAACCTACATTTGAAAATTAAAATTGCAATAAGGAACTATCTAGAGTTCTAATACTAATTTAATATTAGTAGAACATAAGTTTTTACTACTAGACATTTGAAAATTCCAAGTGACACAGAGTAAGAACTCAGTATATTTGCAAATAACACTTTTAGGAACCCCTTTTGTACAATTTTTGTACAAAAAATTGTACAAAACAAGGGACTCAAATAAATCAGCAAGAAAAAACAAATAATCCCATCAAAAATTGGGCAAAGTACATGAATAGACAATTCTCAAAAGAAGATATGAACAGCCAACAAACATATGAAAAAATGCTCGACATGACTAATTATCAGGTAAATGCAAGTTAAAACCACAAAGAGATACCACCTTACTCTTGCAAGAATGGCCATAATTAAATCGTCAAAAAATAATATAAAGGGGTCCCCTTTTGTATTGGGACCCTCTGTGCCTATAGGTAATATATTAGTAAATGTGTTGAAGGTGAGAATTGCATTTTTCTGACTATTATTAGGACCCTGAAATTCATGCCTCACAATGTTGGTACTTTGGCATGTTAACTCTTTGAACTAAAATGAAAAGGCCTTAGAAACTGCAGCCAAATCACGAACATTCTGACCTCTCCTGTTCCTTCCCCTGGACAAGTGCAAGGAGGGCTTTTTCAGGAATTCCTTGTCTCACTATGGAAATTTCCTTATTTTTTATCTTTTTTTAAAATTTATTTTTATTTCAATAGTTTTGGGGGTACAGGTAGTTTTTTGGTTTCATGGATAAGTTCTTTAGTGGTGATTTCTGAGATTTTGGTGCACCTGTCACCTGAGCATTTTACTACTACCCAATGTGTAGTCTTTCATTCCTCACCTCCCTTCCACACTTCCCCCTGAGTCCCCAAAGTCCATTGTATCATTCTTCTGCCTTTGCATGCTCATAGCTTAGCTCTCACTTATAAGTGAGAACATACAATATTCAGTTGTCGATTCCTACTTCACTTAGAATAATGGCCTCCAGCTCCATCCAAGTTGCTGCAAAAGCCATTATTTTGTGCCTTTTTATGGCTAAGAAGTATTCCATAATAATGCATATATACTACATTTTCTTTATCCACTTGTTGGTTGATGAGCATGTAGACTGGTTTGGTAATTTTGCAACTGCAAATTGTGTTGCTATAAACATGTGTATATTAGTGTATTTTTTCATATAATGACTTATTTTCCTTTGGGTAGATACCCAGTAGCGGGACTGCTGAATCAAATAGTAGTTCTGCTTTTAGTTCATTAAGGAATCTCCATACTGTTTTTCATAGTGGTTTTACTAGTTTACAGTCCCACCAGCAGTGTAAAAGTGTTCCCTTCTCCCCACATCCAGTCCAAAATATATTATTTTTTGACGATTTAATTATGGCCATTCTTGCAAGAGTAAGGTGGTATCTCTTTGTGGTTTTAATTTGCATTTACCTGATAGTCATGTTGAGCATTTTTTCATATGTTTGTTGGCTGTTTATATCTTCTTTTGAGAATTGTCTATTCATGTACTTTGCCCAATTTTTGATGGGATTATTTGTTTTTTTCTTGCTGATTTATTTGAGTTCCTTGTAGATACTGGCTATTAGTCCTTTTTAGGATGCATAGTTTGTGAATATTTTCTCCCACTCTATAGGTTGTCTGTTTACTCTGCTGATGATTTCTTTTGCTCTGCAGAAGCTTTTTAGTTTAATTAGATCCCATTTATTCATTTTTGTTTTTGTTACATTTGCTTTCAGGTTCTTAGCCATGAATTCCTTGCCTAAGCCAATGTCTAGAAGAGTTTTTCCAATGTTATCTTCTATAATTTTTATCGTTTCAGGACTTGGATTTGAGTCTTTGATCCATCTTGAGTTGATTTTTGTATAAGGTTAGAGATAAGGATGTAGTTTCATTCTTCTATATTTGGCTTGCCAGTTTTCCCACCACCATTTATTGGATAGGGTGTCCTTTACTCACCTTATGTTTTTGCATGCTTTGTCAAAGATAAGTTGGATATAAATATTTGGCTTTATTTCTGAGTTCTCTACTATGTTCCATTGGTCTATGTGCCTATTTTTATATCAGTACTATGCTGTTTTGGTAACTAGAGCTTTGTAGTATAATTTGAAGTTGGATAATGTGATGCTTCCTCATTTTTCTTTTTGCTTAATATTGCTTTGGCTATGAAAGGTCTTTTTGGTTCTATATGAATGTTAAGGTTTTTTTCTAGTTACGTGAAGAATGATGATGGCATTTTGATAGGAATTGCATTGAATGTATAGATTGCTTTGGGCAGTATGGTCAGTTTAACAATATTGATTCTACCCATCTGTAAGCATGGGATGTGTTTTCATTTGCTTGTGTCATCTATGATTTCTTTCAGTAGTGTTTTGTAGTTTTCCTTGTAGAGATCTTTCACCTCCTTGGTTAAGTTTCTTACTAAGTATTTTATTTTATTTTTTACAGCTGTTGTAAAAGGGATTGAGTTCTTGATTTGATTCTCAGCTTAGTTGGTGGCGTATAGCAGTGCTACTGATGTGTGTACATTCATTTTGTATCCTGAAACTTTACTGAATTAATTTATCATGTCTAGGAGCTTTTTGGATGATTCTTTAGGGTTGTCCAGCTATATGATCATATCATCAGTGAACAGGGACAGTTTGACTTCCTCTTTTTAAATTTAGATGCATTTTATTTCTTTCTCTTGTCTGGTCACACTGGCTAGGACTTCCAGTACTATGTTGAATTGTAGTGGTAAAATTGGGCATCCTTGTCTTGTTCCACTTCTCAGGGTAAATACTTTCAAGTTTTCCCCATTCAGTATAATGTTGGATATGGGCTTGTCATAGGTGGATTTTATTACTTTGAGGTGTGCCCCTTCTATGCCAATTTTGTTGAGGGTTCTTATCATAAGGGGATCCTGGATTTTATCAAATGCTTTTTCTGCATCTATTGAAATGATCATATGATTTTTTAAAAATTCTGTTTATGTGATAGATCACATTTACTGACTTGTACGTGGTTAGACCATCCATGCATCTCTGGTATGAAACCCACTTGATCATGATGTATTATCTTTTTTATATGCTGTTGGATTCAGTTAGCTAGTATTTTTTTAGGGTTTTTGCATCTATATTTATCAGTAATATTGGCCTGTAGTTTTTGTTGTTGTTGTTATGTCCTTTCCTGGTTTTGCTATTAGGGTAATATTAGCCTCATAGAATGATTTGGGGAAGATTCTCTCTTTCTCTATCTTTTCGAATAGTTTCAGTAGGATCGGTACCAACTGTTCTTTGAATGTCTGATAGAACTCACCTGTGAATCCATCTGGTCCTGGCCTTTTTGTTGCTGTTGTTGGCATTTTTAAAATTACTGATTCAATCTTGCTGCTTGTTATTGGTCTGTTCAGTGTTTCTATTTCTTCCTCATTTAATCTAGGAGGGTTGTATGTTTTGAGGAATGTATGCATCTCTAGATTTTCTATTTTGTGCTCATGAAGGTGTTTAGAGTAGACTTGAATCATCTTTTCTATTTCTGTGGTATCAGTTGTAATATGTCCAGTTTTGTTTCTAATTGAGCTTATTTGGATCTTCTGTCTTCATTACTTTGTTAATCTAACAGTCTATCAATTTTATCTTTTCAAATTATCAGCTCTTTGTTTCATTTATCTTTTGTATTTTTTGAGAAAACATTATTATTTATTATATATGTGAATTAAAGAAGTGAGGGACTTTATACGGTGGCATCAGATATTAAAATCTATGTTCTCACATTAGAAGTTAAAAAGATGCCTTAGGCAAGTTTTAGTTAGACATAGTTGTTATTTCTTTTGTAATCCAACACATGTCCTGTTGCTTCTGATTTGCTTCCAGGTATTATGCAGTGATCTTACATCAGCATTGTCTATGATGGGATGGCAACTTTTTTTTAAGGAAGTTAATAAAAGAAAATATTTAGTCTTTTTCATTATTTTTTATTTTTATTTTTATTTATTTTATTTTTTTGAGACCGAGTCTTTCACCGTCACCCTGGCTGGAGTGCAATGGCACAATCTCGGCTTACTGCATCCTCTGCCTCCCAGTTCAAGCAATCTCCTGCCTCAGCCTCCCGAGTAGCTGGGATTACAGGTGCCTGCCACCATGCGCGGCTAATTTTCTGTATTTTTTAGTAGACACGGGGTTTCACTATGTTGGCCAGGCTGGTCTCAAACTCCTGACCTCGTGATCTGCCTGCCTCGGCCTCCCAAAGTGCTGGGATTACAGGTGTGAGCCACCACGCCCGGCCCCCATTATTTTTTTTAATTGCTTACAATTCAGACATAAAACCTAGAAATACTTCCTAGGCTGTATTTCTCCAGTGACTTCATCAGTTCACTTCAGCAATCCAGGCTTGCTCTGATTGATAGTGTTCTGTTCAGTTCCTTTGTTAATCATCAGTTTTTCTTTTCTGAACCCATGCATAAGGTCTTGTAAAACTATTTATAGAAAACAAAAATTATATATTTAAATCTGAACTGAAAATGTATGCCACTCTTTTTTGAGCAGCAGTATGGTTGCTATGTAGCCCTATTAAATATCCTAACTGATAGCAGTAGTAAATTTAGGTGAAGGGTTTTGAATGTAGCCATTTTATTCCAAAATTCACATGTGTTATCACAGAAATAACACTGCAAAGACACAATTCTTAGCTATGTTCCTATTACCACCAAGCCAATTATTTTCTTCTTTTTTTTTTTTTTTTTTTGAGATAAGGTATCAGGCCATCATTCAGGCTGGAGTGCAGTGGTGTGATCATGGCTCACTGCAGCCTCCACTACCTGGACTCAAGTGATCCTCCCACCTCAGCCTCCCAAGTAGGTGGGACTACAGGCATGAGCTACCAAACCTGGCTAATTTTTGTATTTTTTGTAGAGATGGGGTTTCGCCATGTTGCCCAAGCTGGTCTCAAACTCCTGGCCTCAAGAAATACTCCTGTCTCAACCTCCCAAAGTCCTGGTAATACAGGCGTGACCCACTATGCCCAGCCCAAGTCATTTCCATTTGTATATGTGGGATATAGGACTCGTACATCTTTAACCTTCTGGGTGGTACTGACCTTCGAGTAGCTAATATTATACTCAGGTATACTTTCCTCAAATTAAGTCTCCCCATCTTACCAGTGCCTTCTCAAAAGTTGTTAAATGTTGTATGGTTTCTGGATACATTTTAACTCAGTAGGATGAAGTAACTTAATCATGGAACACCGAATGTGTACTCTGAGCACCATCCAGTGGCCAAAGCATATACGGGAAATAATTTGTGTATGTTATTTGGGGATTGGCTGTTACGAAAGCTGGAGGAAGAAAAATGCTATCTGCTGAAGTAAAACCAATCTTAATTTGGGATTAAAATACCTGAAACAATCACAGAATACCTGAAAACAAGTTCTCAAAGTCTTCATTTCAAAGTCCCATCAGTGACACTGAACTTAAGCAAAGAAAGAAGGGCAAATACAGAAGATAGAATCAGAAAGAAAGGGGAGAAAAGGTAAAATGCATGTGGAGGAGGGCTTAAGTGAGGTGAAGGAGGAACAAGAAGAAAAGAAGAGGAAATGAAATAAATTAAGGACAAATGTAATGAAAGCACTTTCATGAGTGACAGTATAAATGTATGAAGAGGAGAAAAATAATTACACTTCTTAATAACTGTCAGGTTTCAATTACTGTGTACATTAACCTTAATTTAAGTTTCACAGTTACCTAATGGGGTATGTATCATCATCCTACTTAAAAGACAAAAAAAAAGGGAACACATAAGCCTTAGGGAAATGCTTTAAGACACCTAACTCGCTTTGACCTGATTGTAACATTTAATCTCTTTCTTTAACCTGTACCAGAATATCACTAAAAGAAACCTTTCAACTGTAGTAAAACAGCAGTTCTTAAACTCAACTGCACACTGGAATTACCAGGGAAGTTTTAAAAATAGTAACGCCTGGGTCTCACTGAAAGAGGTTTTGATTTAGTTGGTCTGGGGGCTATGTACTGATAAACTGGATTTTTACTTCTCGCTGGGTGATTCTCATGTATACTAAAGTTTGAGGATGACTCTTCTTAAATACTTGACTTCCTTGTCCACCTCTTGCTAGATGTATAATTCAGCAGGTTCCTAAAAACTTTTAACAATTTCATTAACATTAGATCTTTTAATTTAAAATTTCCAGTGCAACTAATTGAATAACTTTACGAAAGAGATTCTCTTGCAGATCATTCATGTCAGAAAGTTTGTAATCTTTTCATAGTTCTCTTTGCACCAAAATGCATTTCTATTTTTTCTATTTAACTTTATTTTTAAATTGACAGGTAAAATTGTATGCGTTTATGGTGTACAACACGATGCTTTGAAATATGCATGCTTTTGAGAAGAATTAACAGGAATTAATGTGGTTGGCGATTCTCTCTCCTTTTCTCGTATATGGAGGCCACTCCTTCAATACTATTTTTATATTTGGTAAAGTGAACTGTATCTTTATCATTACAAGAAACAGAAGACACCATCTATGTTTCTTTTAGGACTGTTTTCTGTCCAGTAACATGGAATATACCCATGGCTGGCACTTTGACAGCAGTTTGGGCTTGTTCAAGTATCTAAGCCCTTTGCATTCCCTCAGGCAGCTTATCTATCAGAAGTACCATTGCCCTTTTCTGTCAAAATGTAAGGTGAAAAAAAGCTTCTTCAACCGTTCTCTATACACAGCTATTTTGTATCCAATTCATTTAGTCTTGGAAGGATTTATTAATTGATATAAAAATAGAGTGAGATTATTTAGAAATCATGGCCTACTTTCAGAGTGTCAGTGCACTGGCGGCCGATTTAATATCAACCATGTGTGTGTTTCTTAAGAACCAAATTTGGTCAAGCTGTTTGTCTAACACACATCTGTACTTTTTTTTTTTTTTTTTTGTCTTTTAAAGAAGTTGATTCATCTCCTAGTCTTCAGCTGTTTGTTTTCCATATATGTAGGATTTAAAGCGCTCTGCAAGACTTCCCTTTAGGATTGCCACTCATTCTCTGCTCTACTACATTAAATCTCATGAAAAGCATTGCATACCACAAAACAATTGCATAGGAGAAGAAAAACACAGTTGACCATTCATATCCTCAGGCTCAGTATCCATGAATCCAACCAATCACAGATGAAAAATATTCCAGAAACACAATAAAAATAACTACAACAATAAAAATAACACAAATTTTAAAATTATACAGCATAAGAACTACTTATGCAGCACTTGTATTAGGTATTATAAGTAATCTAGAGATTGTTTAAAGCATATAGGAGGACGTGTGTAAGTTATATGCAAATACAATGCCATTTCATGTAAGGGACTTGAGTATCCATGAGTTTTGGTATCTGTGGGGGTTCGTTGAACAAATTCCCCATGAGTACTGTGGGAAAACTGTACATTTCAAAATTTCAAGTTCTAGGATTCCAGAGTTTCTGTACAGCTATGAAATAATATATGAGCATATGTGCCGTTTCCCATTTTTAATAATCATTATTTCAAAACAGTGTTTGTTCTTTTTAAATATACAATCAGATATTGATTATATATATATATTAGAAATCTTTGTATTTCTTTTACTCCTATTAGCTACAAATTGAATACTATGCAAAGTTGTGTTCGTGTGTGTATCTTTGCATCATCATAACTATTGTGGGAAAATATACATACGCATATGCACACACATATTATAAGGCCAGCAAGAGTTATAAATGACTATATGTGTACATGTGAAGCATCACTCTATCATTATATTATCTTTAAAGTGTCCAATAGCTAATATTTATGAGAATACTCTAGGGAACAAAATATACTTCATTTTCCCTAAGTGGAAGAATAGTTTTTGTTCCATTAGATGGAGAATCATCTTCTGGCACTTACTAACGGCATTATGTTGAACTGTTACTTTGTTCCTTCATTCATTACATATGCATTGTTCAATTTCAACACTACTCTTTCATTTATTTCTGCATTTCATCCTTCAGTAAAGCATCTGTCATTAATGTCCACTGTTAAATAAATTGAAACATATATTTTTGCTGGATAATTTGGAAAACAACATTGCTTTGGAAGGGTAACTGGGTAGAATGGGAGAGACACTCAAAGGACTTAAAAGAAAAAACAAATCTCAGGAAGAAGTTGAAAATGTGAAAACTAATGACTTTTATTTAATAAAATAATAAATAACAAGGATTAAAAAAAGTAAAGACTGCTAGTCTTCACATTTCAATTGCATGGTAGCTCATAGGCCACAATACTCTAGTAGGACTTCTTGAAATGGGTTTTAAATCTAACTCTGCTACTACAATGCACTGTGACACTGGAAAAGTCATTAAACGTCTCATGGCCTTGTTTCCCCCTTAGGCACAATGTGTTTACATTAGATAAGTGATGTTCAAACTGAAGAAGTAGTATCCTTTAATTATCAAACACACAGACCCTGGAGACAGAGGGCCAAAATTTGAATCTCATGCCTGACATTTGCTAGTTGTGTGATATTCTCGTATATGAATGTAATATACTTTCTTTATACATTTATTGAAAAGACTGACTATGTTAAGATATGTTTGGTTCTTGGAGTAGTGCCTAGTACCTGGTAATTGCTGCATTAGCTACTATTATTGATATAACATCAAACTGTACTCAGCTGAGGCAAATGGCTGCTTAGCTCTTCCCCAGAGGCTCTCTTGGGTGAGTAGGGGAGAAAAAATAGGGCTATTAAAAAATGTTTATTGTCTTTCTACCCCTTTTTTTTCGTGTCTTGGTTATCTTTGCTCTCTTCTTTCCCTCTTTCTCCTTTGTAATTACTCCTGTGCCAAGGGATTCTATCCATCTTCCTCATCTATTACCATGGAACATACTTTTACAGGAAATACTTTGTACTTCTTTGACTTCAGGTAGCATCTTAATTCTAATTTTAGAAGCATACTTGATATTTTATTATAGGTAGATTGACATTGCCACTAAAAATTGACTGTGGAATCTCAGCTCTCAGGCATCCCATCTGAATTATCATCTCTCCCTTTACTGTGACAAACTAGTTATACTGCATTCCTTATGACAGTGGAGCCTCCCACGATCCATACACTCACCTAAATTATATATTTGGGGCTGTCTTTAAATTTTCCAAGCAGTCACCAAATTTGCTCGACCCTGCTTCTTTATTATTTCTTGAATCTGTATCCATACAATATACATGCAACTACCACGGCTGTATTTCAGGAGTTTATACATGTTTCACCTAATTAATGCCACCACTCCATAAGTGGGACAATTAACTTCACTACAATCTATTATTCACACCTCTGCTAGTATGATAATTCTAAAAATCAAATCATTTTGTTCTTTTTACTAAAATCACATGGAGTGTGCATTGTGTAGAAGATCTAGTTCAGCTCTTAGGCATGATAGACAAGGCCACTTATTACCTCTGTGGCCCCATCTCTTCATCTTTTGCTAAAGTACTCAGACCTCTACGTCTTCTACCCCAGATCGTGATGACTGAGCCAAAATGTTTTGCTTACTGATCCCTGATTTTTAGAAGCTCTTTTATGCATCTCTATTGTGGCACGCATTCTTTACTTGGCCTAGAATAAAATTCATGCCCTCATTCCATTGGTGAGTTGCTACTAGTCCTATAAGATATAATTCAGATATCATGTAAATTTAAGGAGATTTGACCTTTTATTAGCAATCCCTATTGCTCTTCCTACATCATTCCATTACACCATGTGTCTGAATCTCTCTCAGAGCATCCGCCACACAGAGGGTCATTATGTATTTATTCTTTTGCCTTCTTTAAAATTCAACCCATTTCTTGATCAGCACTGCACTTCTTAACTGTGACCCTAGCACCTAGCACCAGGTCAGGCAAGTTCTCGGTTAGGATATATGTGTTGAATGCAGAAAATAGTAGTTTGGAAAAGATTTGGCAGATATTTTAACTTAACTGGCAAGAAATACTATACAAATATGTTAACTAAGTGAGGTAGGTGTAGACTGAAGTAGATCAAATCAGGAATGCTAAGTAATCATATGAAATTAAGTCTTCTTTAGAGAGTAAAGGGTAATGAAAAATAAGTATGGATGCTGATATCAGCCAACCATTCTGAAACAGAGCCAAACCTTCTATGGCAGAATGTTTGTTCATTTGATATATGGGAGAAAATATTTGGAAACTATGAACGTGACAAAGGTATAACAAGAGAACTTAAACAAATGAAGCAAAACAAACAACCCCATTAGAAATGGGCAAAGTACATGAACGGACACATCTCAAAAGAAGATGTACATGCAGCCACCAAGTATATGAAAAAATGCTCAATAGCTCTAATCATTAGGGAAATGCAAATCAAAACCACAATGAGATATCAACTCACACCAGTCAGAATGGCTATTAAAAAGTAAAAAAATAACAGATGCTAGCAAGGTTATGAAGAAAAAGGATTGCTTGTACACTGCTGGTGGGAATGTAAATTAATTCAGCCACTGTGGAAAGTAGTTTGGAGATTTCTGAAAGAACTTAAAATAGAATTACTACTTGAACCAGCAACCTCATTACTGGGTATATACCCAAAAGAAAATAAATCATGCTACCACGAAGACACATGCATGCGTATGTTCATCACAGTGCTATTCACAATAGCAAAGACATGGAATCAACCAAGATGCGCATCAACAGTGGACTGCATAAAGACATGGTACATATATATGATGGAATACTACACAACAATAAAGAAGAATGAAATCATGTCCTTTGCAGAAACATGGATGGAGCTGGAGCTCCATCCTAAGCAAACTAACATAGGAACAGAAATCCAAATATTGCATGTTCTCACTTGTAAGTGGGAGTTAAACATTGAGTACACATTGACACAAAGAAGGGAACAATAGACACTGGGGTCTACTTGAGATTGCAAAGTGGGAGGAAGGTGAGGATTGAAAAACTAACTATTGGGTATTACCTGGGTGACAAAATTATCTGTACACCAAACCCCCATGTCAAGCAATTTACCCATGTAACAAATGACACATGTACCCCTTCAATCCAATATTAAAGTTGTAAGGAAAAAAAATTATCTGCAGACATTTGAACAATATAAATGTTTTCTTGTGTAGACAGAATTTATCAGTATGATGACAGCACTAGGAGTAAATAAATATGAGATCACATACTCATTGCACTAATTCCAAAGCACTCGTGAATTTCTTGGAATCACAATAGAGATTTGCTGTTACAGTGAAATCATATAAATTATGCCCTGGTTCTTGTGCATAATAATCTTCTCATAAGGGAGAAAAGGCTAAAGATGTGTTCAAAGAGGTGAGAAAACAGAAATTGAATACTGCGATTCAAATGGCTCATCAAATTTTCACATAGGAAAAGCTAGCTCAGCTCAAGTCAAATTCCAGGAGTGTGGGTAAATCCTAATGAAACCAATGTAAGTGATTTTAACTGGTTTAATGAAGTCTGTTTGGCACAATTGATTCCAAGGAGAAAGTGGCAATTCTTCAGGTGCTTCTGGAAGATTGCATACCTCTCTAATTGGGCCAAGTTGTTTTGCCCCTGTACCCTTTAAAGGGTCAACTGTTTCTCTGGTTTCTGAGCAGGTTTAAAGTCTATAGAATCTTTAAACTTATGGAAAGATGCCTTTGTGTCCTAAGACTAATGGGACAAATACGTCATACAAGTTATCACTAAGCCAGAAAGTTTTGAGAGAGAAAAGAAAAGGGTATAGGACAATAAGAATATACCAGGTTTATTCTGCACAAAATAAGCCCTGAAACTCTGCCTACTTAAACTAGAGTTTCTGAAAGTTTTGTATGAAGAATTTCCACATCAGAATCTTCAACTCAGTTCATAAAATAGAGATTCCTGGTTCCAACCTATTCCAACTACTTAATAATCTTTTGAAACAGGGGCCAGGAGTGCACACTTTAAGAAGTCTCCTGACTCTCAACTCAAGTGTACATATGCATGCTAAAATTTTCATGGTCTTAGTGAACAAAACCAGTGGTGACAGTGTTAAAATAAACCTGTCTCATTAAGTGGAAATGCGCAGTAGTAGTATTTGCCCATGAGTTCAACCAGCATTAACAGACAGCTTGTTGTATCAGTTGAAAAGTTTTATTCTTTCATTGCTTTCCTTATTTCAATCTGTACAATAGACTGTTACCTTCACTGGTACAAAGCTAAAGTAAGTACTTTGTGTATCTTTTGCATTTTGTCATGTTTTATTTTTTTTCCCTCTGAAGTCCTAGAAGTTTAGTGTGGGTTGATATTAATGTATCTCTTTAACTGGAAGTTTAGTTTGGGTTGATATAAATGTATCTCTTTATAATAAGTGTTTGCTAATACTATAAGGCCTTCTAATCGTAGTCTTAATTATTAAATGTTTATATTTAAACATTTCAGATATAAGACATTGTGACTAAATTCTGGATGGAAAAATACTTCTCTTAAAATATAAAACCATTATTGATGAAAATAATCTGCTTACATGTGTGTAATTACAGGGCATTTATTCACTTTCAATACACAGTTTGGAAGTTTAAGGAACCGAGTAAATTTACAGTCACTGTTTTGTTGGGGGCCCACAGCAGGCTTTCTTGCATTTGTTCTAAGGGAGATGGAAGGATAGTAACTTTATTGGTGTGACGTGAAGAATCTAAGACTATATCAAGGTTTTGACATTTATTTGATGCCTCGTTTAACTTAAGCAAGAAAACCAATCTTCCCCCTCCGAATCAAATCTCAGCAGGTCTTTGGGTGAGAACAAAAGCACCAGACCACCCAGTTTCCTCTATAGACTTGTGAGTTTATTTATTATTTCTGACTGCAGATATTTTCTTCACAGAGGGAAGTCTGTTTTAAACTTAATGATCATCTTCCCTCAATCAAGACTAGCAGTATTAAAAAAATCCAAGATGAATTTGTACTCCTGATTCAGGAAACCCTAACAATCATTAGTGTTCTCGAGAGTAGTCAATTCAATTCAATAGTTAATTCAAGTATTCAGTGCTTATTAAATGTCAGACATGTTATTTGATGTTGGGGATACAAGTATGGATGCCTTTTAAAGAACTGATTTGTCATTAATGTGTAACAAACAGTTGAGCTACACAGAAGTACCATATGTGTGTAGTTTTAGAATTTTGAAGGGAGAGTGATTTAATTTGGTGGAGGAAGTGAAAATAGGTTTCATTGATGAGGTCATGTGTATGTTTGGGTTTTAAAGAATGAATAGGAGCTTTTCTAAGTGAGTGAAAGGAAATAAACATTCTTGACAGCGAGAACAGCAACTGCTAACAGTTGTAAAACAATAAGGATAGCACGTTTTAATTACTGGTGTATAAAGTGTGAAGAGATTAGCTAAATTGTCAGACCAAGACAGGAAAATGAGGACCTTTATGACATATTCAGAAGTTGGACTTTCTCTCAGGTCAGTGGAAAAATAATAAAGATTTTAGGCAGATAATTGATGATCAAATTTGCAAATTAGGAATAATAATATTGGTAGCTGTGTTCAGAATGAATATGAGAAGAAATTGTTGTCATGGGGAAGCAGAAATATATGGAGGGCAGCTGCAGGAAGCCTAGCAAGACAAGGATCTGAGTCAGGACAATGGAATTATATTAAAATGAAAAAAATTAAGAGATACCAAGAAGCACAATTGATTAACCATGATGATATATTGGACAGAGAAAAAAATTGGCTAATTTATTGGAGAGAGGGAAAAGGAGAAAGGAGGGGGTTATGAGGGAAAGTCAGAGAGCCAGGATTGCTTTTATATTTCTATCTTTCCTTGGTGGACAGAAGCACCAACAATAAATAACATCTGATGCTGAGGCCATACATTTTGGCCTAAGAGGGAGCAGAGAGCTTACAATAAAAATTGCAGGCAAGATACCCGAAGACCAGGAGTTAGTCTTACTAGACAGTAAAATTTATGCACAGAAACATAACACATCAATTAATAGCCCCAAAAGTTTGGTGCTCCCTGACATGGGCTAAAAGTGTAATGATTCTGGGTCTTGGACTGTTTTGACGCTGGTTAAGTCCCAACTCTGGTGCAAGTAATATGGCGTCGGGCTCATCATTCCAGAAACCTATTTATTGACCTTAATTTTTCCAATACTAGTCAACAATATAGCTGTGCTGTATGCTCAGTTCTCTCATCTAGTGGCTTTCCTTCTGGATATGGCAGTGTACATTCAGCAGTTTTTCCTCTGGACAGTACAATTGCTGCTCTGGTCTTTCTTTGATCTCTTGTATGCTGGATATCTGAAGTCTTCTGAAGATCCCCCTTCTTTACTTATTTTAGAGATTGGAGGTGCATCAGGAAGCCTGGAGTTTAACTAGAGCATCATCAAAAGTTGAGTTGGAGGGAAGAAGGTTGAAGATGGAATATTGCCTACTTTTAATCAGTTTCAAGTACTTACAAATTTGGCCCAGATATTGTTTATGACTTCAGGAAACAATCAATTGTTTATGACTTGCACAACAATGGGGTATGTGCAAGCAGAATTTGGCTTTTCCATTGTAGCTTGTAATGATGGAGTTTTGGAATCAAGAATTCTCTTCTATTTACTCAGTCTGAAGAAGCTCCTGAAAAGATTCTATGACTCAAAAGAAGACTGAAAATAAGCAAGATATTTCATTTTCCCTGCCTATGGGTAGAAGTTATTCTGTGGCTTTAGAACTATTAGAACTCCCAAGGCATATGCCCCAGATATCTGTTGCAGTGTGACAAACCACTCCAAAATTCCATGGTAGACAGAAAAAAAAATTGTTATAATCAGGACTTTTGGGTCAAAAATTAAGGCAAGCATCCTGGGAAAGGCATATCACTGTGCCACAATGACTGGGGCTTCAGCTGTGCTGGCTTCAATGGCTAGAGGTAAAAATAGATGACTTAACTTGGGTTATAAGTCTGGGATCCTTGGTTCTGTCTAAGATTCTCTTTACATCACATCTATTGGGGCCGGAATATTTAAGGTGACCTCTTCACTCACGTATCTTCTCTCTGAGTTGGTATAGTTGAAAAAACTGTGGACTGCTGTTCTCTGTCTCTCCTTACACTTTCTTCCGTTCTTTATGAAAATTTTCCATGCAGGTTGGGATTCCTCATAATTTGGAAATTTCAAAGCAGTTGGAATTGTTAGTGACTGGCTTCCCCCAGAGTGAGCATTACAAGAGGCTTGGGTGGTAACTGTCATATTTCCTATGGCCTGGCCTTAGAATTTCAAGAACACCTTTTCTGTTGCATTCGTTTGAGCAAGCAAGTCACTAGGTTAGCCCAAACTCAAAAGTAAAAGATAATACTCTATCTTTCAATTGGAGGGGTAGTGAAGATTTATGGTCATATTTAGCATATGGTGGCACATGATGAAAAAACTTATTAAGATTACTTTTCAGTTGAAGTAGAAATTACTCTCTTTTTGTTGTCTGAAGCACAACTCTTGCGGGGTGAGAATTAAAAAAGGAAGGGTGTAGTATTTGAAATTATTTGCATTCTATTTGATTTTCAAAATAATGAATTACAGATCATTTTATTATATAATAGTTTTCCCATACCAGAGATTAATGATAACATTAATAGTTATTCATTGAGTGACTATAAATGCTGGAGACTCTGCTTGTGTCTTACTTATTTGATTTCAAGTCCCATGCGAGGTAGATATTACTACTCTCATGTTGCAGATGAAGGCATTGAGGCCAAGGAAAATAAAGTCATTTTCCTAGAGTTACAGTGATAAAGAATATGTTTAGATTTAAACAAGGCCTATGGAATAGATACAGGTGGTTGTTTTCAATCAAAACATGAGACTCAGGTTAACATATCTTAAGCCTTCCACTTACATAGGCTTGACACGGGAATTATCTTTATCTCTTCCTTATGCTTACATCTAATTATAGAAATAAAAATGTGATTATATTGCAAAATTTCATCCCACTTCTGATTTCTTTTTTTTTCCTGGCTCTATCCAGATTTATTTTCTTGATGAGTTTTCTATTACTGCTGACTCTGTGAATGTGTTGCTTCTAGCCTTTCTTCACTTTTCAGCTATCTTATATGGTTCTCTGAGCCATGGTTCAGCTCTGTTGTTCACTAGGAAGTTACTTCACATCTCTGCAAATGTCTCATTGTTTATAATAAAAAACCCTCTTCTTAGTATTGTTATGAGAAATAAATAAAATTATATGCCATATGTATATAATTTTGCTTGTTGCCTATATGTAAATATAGATATATTGAGATAGCTAAAACCCAGTTTTGTGGCTTCAGTGATGAAACCAATACTAGGTTTGTATTACTCAAAATGCATAGAATGTAAAAATGAATGATCAACATAAAGGCCCATAATATATGAATAAAATCAAGTCAAGCAGGAAGTCATATACAGATTCATGGATTGTGCATTATAGAACCTCAGGAGGCACTATTCATATAAACAATAAAGTGAATGACACACCTTAGATATACTCAGCACACAACCTGTACATTTGAACATTTTGGCCCTGAAAACAAGTTTTAAACCTATCTTCTGCTTTTCCTAAGCCTAGTAGAAAGAGGAGGAGAGGATGGGATACTGAGCTCAAGGGAGAATAAATGGTTAACCATTATTATTAGTTATTCTTCAGGCCCAGCACTTTACATGATCATGTTGTAGTGAGGTTGCTGATTTTGTTCAACAACCTCCAGTCACAAAGAGCACGGTTGCCTCTTTCACCCAGGGGGAAGAGCTGCATTTCCACCAGCAGATATAACAGGGTCTGGTGTGGGCAATTGTTTACTTCACATCTATCTTAAGTGTACTCTCCATTTTATGGTACTAATTAGGTGTCATAATAGCTCTTAAGGAGAGTAACTGGGTGCAGGGTCTGGGTTCATTATTCAAAGAAACCCACAAAATTTTCAAATTCTATTACAAAAACATCTGTATATTTCAAGGACAGAATTTTGCTTAAATTCAAACTACTCTACTATAATCAAGTTGCTTCTTCTGCTTAGTTCTTAGTGCCCACAGCCTTCAACAAATTTAGTGCACTACAGATTGACCAAAGGGAGATAGTCATTTTTTTAAAAAGTGGCATTTGCAATGGGTGGAAAAGTTGGGCTCCATTATGGTGTCATTTCCTGGAGACTTTTTATTTTTCAGGGGAAACACAAATTCCTACTTCCTCCATTAGACTATAATCTCTGTCTTTGTATTAGTCAGAGTTCTCTAGAAGGACAGGACTAATGGGATATATATATATATGAAAGGGAGTTTATTAAGGAGTATTGAGTCACACGATCATAAGGTGAAGTCCCACAATATGCTGTCTGCAAGCTGAGAAGCAAGAAGTCCTAAAACCTCAAAAGTAGGGAAGCTGACAGAGCAGCCTTCAGTCTGTGGCCAAAAGCCCGAGAGCCCCTTGGGAAGTCACTTATGTAAGTCTAAGAGTCCAAAAGCTGAAGAACTTGTAGTCCGATGTTCGACGGCAGGAAGCATTCAGCACGGGAGAAAGAAGAAGGTTGGGAGACAGCCAATCTAGTCCTTCCACATTCTTCTGCCTGATTTTATCCTAGCCACACTTGTAGCTGATTAGATGGTGCCCACCCAGGCTGACGGTGGGTGTGCCTCTTCCAATCCACTGACCCAAATGTGAATCTCTGTTGGCAACACTCTCACAAACACACTCAGGAACAATACTTTGCATCCTTCAATCCAATCAAGTTGACACTCAATATTAACCATCAGACTCTTCAAACATCTTTGAAAGCTTATTGTATATAGAATAAAAGAAAATGTGCAAGTCCTTCCTAATGTCATTCTGATTCTCCCAATATTACTGCATTTTCATCGTTCACGTCTCAGCTTAAACGTCATTTCCATGGAGAGACCTTCCTGACCAGCTCATCTAAAATAAAATTTTGCTTGCTATGCTCTATCACAGATCTCTACCCCTTCCTCCAATAAAAAAAAAATGTGTGTATACTAAGAATGGATCAATCTGTGTTTTACTATTCAGTTCCTGAAACATAGTGGATATTAAATAAACACGTTCTGGGTAGATAAATAAATGGGGGAAGAGAGGAAGAAAAGAAGGAAAGAAAAAAGGAAGGTGCTTCTGAGGATATGCATGCCTACATCTCCCTGATATGACACCATTGCTTCCAGGCCTTTGTTCCCATTGTAGGCTGTGGTTGCAATGTCCTACCCTTTATGCCCTAGCTCATATCAAATTCCTATGCAAGATCTATATTCTTCAAGTCCTATATTAAATATAGTTTTCATCAAGATGGCCTATAAAACTCCTGTTTGCATAAGTACTTGCCATTTTTCATCTTCCTAACTTTTAAATCTCCTTTTAGATCTTTATAATAAAGAAATGTATGCACTTTCCTTCTACTTGATGGGAAACTCCAGTAATGCAAAAACACTCCATTACCCAGGCTGGAGTGCATTAACATGAACATAGCTCACTGCAGCCTCAAACTCCTGGTCTCAAATGATGCTTCCACCTCAGCCTCCTGAGTAGCAAGGACTACAGGCATGTGCCACCAAGGTTGGCTAATTTTTTAATTATTTTTGTAGATTTAGACTCTCCATATGTAGCCTAGGCTGGTCTCAAACTCCTGGCCTCAAGAGATCCTCCGCCGTTAACCTCCCAAAGCACTGGGATTACAGATGTGAGCCACTGCACCTGACCCCAGGTATTTTTCTTTGCCCTCCATAATGCCTAATAGCAAATGTTACATACAGTAGAAACTTAATAAATATTTGATTGGTTGAACTTAGTACTCCTACATATTTAAAACTTTCGGAGCTATTGAATTGGATTCTGATCTCCTCCACTCATGAGCTATGTGACCATGCGCAAGTTATTTAACCTCTCTTAGCCTCAGTTCCCTTATTTGCAAATGGTAATAATAACTAAATTAATGTGTTGTGGTAAAGATAAGATGATATTTTTGTAAAACAAAGTAAACAAAATATTATTTGTAAAAGTATCTCCTGTTTAACATTAGGAATCCATTCATGATCATAAGACAATTTGTATCAAAATATTAACCAGGAAATTGAGGAACACAGATGTGCTTAGGGCGGTGAAACTACTGTGTATGATACTATAATGATGCCGTTAAACTAAGTTTGGCCTAAAGCTGACTTCATACTTTGAATCCCTACATAGCAAACTACACCCTAACTTAGTATGTAAACATACTTCAACCTATCTTAAGAATATATTCTTGTAACAAATAGCTGAGTCTCAGCCAATGACAGCAGCTGAGCTTCAGCCAATCACAGGTGGTCAATTGATCAGGCTGTGTACATGTAAGGCAAATACCCAGCTAAAATCAATCAAATTCTCTGTACATCTCTTTCACCCTCTCCTCTCCTCCCCTTCCCTCCCCTTCCCTTCCCTCCCCTCCCCTCCCCTTCCCTTCCCTCCCCTTCTCTCCCCTTCTCTTTCATACTGCCTGCCCACATTGCTCAGTGGAGCTTTCTGAATCTTTACTGGTTCTGAGGGCTGTCCAATTCTGGAATTATTCTTTGCTCAGTTAAATGCAGCTAAATTTGTCTCAAATTTTTCTTTCACAGTGGCTTCATGTTATTATACATTTGTCCAAACCCATATTGTTGACAACACCAAAAGTAAACCATAATGTAAACTATGGCATCTGGACTATGGAGTCATATTGTTTATACTAATGTGTCAATGTGAGTTCATCAATTGTATCAAATGTACCAAATAGGGGAGGCTATGCATGTGTGGGAGCAGGGGACATATGGGAAAACTCTATACTGTCTATCAATTTTGCTGTGAACCTAAAATAGTTCTGAAATATAAAGTATATTTAACATATTAACCAAGAAGCTATTTCTTACTATTTTATCTTGTAAAATGTTAGTTAATGTTTTGCCAACAACCCCAACAAATATCCTGAAATGGAATAAAACAAATGTTTTAAAAACCTATTATGTTTCTGTGTATATATTTTAAAACAACATTTCCCAATCACCTAACAATCTATTAACAAATTTAATGTTAACAAAAATCCTTTGTTTGCAGTAACATGACTTCTCTCAACCCCAGTAATATCAGAGTTTCACATTCCTTTCTAAGACACATTGCAGGCTTTTCAAAATATTTACACAAGATTCGGAAGTCTTACCAAATGTTGTTGGAATGTAATCAAGATTTTCCCCAACCATTGTGTTATGAAAATTATCTTGAGTTTAGAGATACAAGTATGTTTTATTTCTGCAAAATTGTTGACTGGGGAACATATGATTGAAAAATAATTATATTCTCTGTAGCGTCGTTTTTAAAATCAAGAGCTCTTCTAACAAAGAAACAATAAACAGGAGACATTTTTGGAGGGTGTATCTTCATATAGATGTTGCTAATCACAGTATGGCTTCTAACAAACTTTTTTTATTTTTATTTTTTATTTATTTTTATTTTTTACTTTTTTTGAGACAGAGTCTCACTCTGTCACCAGGCTGGAGTGCAGTGGCACGATCTCAGCTCACTGCAACCTCTGCCTCCCAGGTTCAAATGATTCTCCTGCCTCAGCCTCCTGAGTAACTGGGATTACAGGTGCATGCCACTGCACCCGGCTAATTTTTTGTATTCTTAGTAGAGACGGGGTTTCACCACATTGGCCAGGATGGTCTCGATCTCTTGACCTCATGATCCGCCCACCTTGGCCTCCCAAAGTGCTGGGATTACAGACGTGAGCCACCGTGCCCAGCCAACAAACTTTAATTTCTAATTTCCTTCTGTCTCCAATCAAAGTGATTGTAAACAAAAGATTATGTTTAACTTAATTGTCACTTGTCAAGTTTAATTAAAACACTCACCTTTTTATTTTTAAAGAATTTTATTCAATTATGCAAAATAAATCTAAGGCTTATACTGATGATATATTTTCCAGCTCACCTATCTCACTTGCATTTCCACATATCGTGAGTTATTCCTTCTTCTCTTAGGGTTTTCCAAGGCATCTGGATGTTTCCTAGTTCATAGTCATATCCATATGCACATTTGTCTGGTTTCTTTGTAAGTTTTTATTAGAGGAGTTTAGAATAATTTTAGAGCAACATAGAAAATGACTATAGGCAAACTTTATTCCTACTGTAGACCCACTCTTCACACACACAAAAATATATTCATAGACTGTAAGGTAATCAGATATGACCTGGTCTTTGGGAAATAGATAAGCTGGAAACATAAAGAATGGAAATCGACAGGGCTTGGTGGCTCACAGCTGTAATCCCAGCCCTTTGGGAGGCCGAGACAGGCAGATCACAAGATCAGGAGTTCAAGAGCAGTCTGGCCAACATAGTGAATGAAACCCCGTCTCTACTAAAAGTAGAAAAAATTAGCTGGGTGTGGTGCTGTGCGCCTGTAATCCCAGCTACTTGGGAGGCTGAGGCAGGAGAATCGCCTGAACCCGGGAGGCGGAGGTTGCAGTGAGCCAAGATTGCGCCATTGCACTCCAGCTTGGGCAACAGTGCGAGACTCCATCTCAAAAAAAAAAAAAAAGAAAAAAAAAGGAAATCATGTAACTAATTCAGTTGGGGATGACAGGGGCAGATCAAAACTCTTCTATTGTAAAAAAAAAAAAAAAAAAGGTAAATGTCTTACTTGAGAAAGAAATTTCTTTAAAGTGTTTAGCTATGCTAGGGATCATCTGTTTATCATTACATTAGGCATGTACTGCATGGAATTAGTACCTGTGTCTTGCTATAAAACAAAATTATGGTAGAAAGAATATTCCACTTATCTAGTTATCATATAGCTGAGGATAGAGCAGTCAAATGCTATTTGTAATTTTTGTATGTGAGTCAGCAAAGCTGTCTTTGACATAAACATCAATTTTCTCTGATTTAAAGACAATACTTTAATAGATAATTCTGGTTGGAAGAACTGATTGATATCTGACAGGAAGTCCTCCTCATATTGAAAAATGCCTAGGAGGAGAGACAGGAGGTGGAGGTGGGACTGACAGTAATCATCAGTAAATTTCAAAACTCAAATGAAAATCTTGTTGACAGCAGGGTATTCAGCACATAAAGTAGTTTTACTACTGACACTATTTTCTAAGGTTCAGTATATATCTATCTTTATATCAAATATCTGTGCAAAGACAGTGTAGTGCTGGGGAATGAAATTGAACTGGGAATCAGTACATGTGGATTATTTTCCCACTGGGTTCTTAGTACCGATTCTCTCTTGGAGTGTTAGAGCTCTGGGAATAAAATTCTTTGTCTCCAAGTTACCTGCTAGGATCTTTTGAATTCTAAATTTTTTGAAACTCTGATCCCATTTTATCATTGTAGTAATACTGTATACAGGAAGATAGCAAGCTAAATTAATAGATATATGGATGGGTGAGTGGAAAGATGGGTGGATATATATATGTATGAACACACACACATATATGTTTGCACACATACAGAATTTATGCACATATATGTGTATGTGTGTACATATATGAATATATATGTGTGTATATACACACACATAGTTATTTACACACATATATTTTTATATAAAGTCACATCACAAATTCTCCTGGTCACAATTTTCCTTTCACAAATGTGAAACATTTGGGCTTGCAAAAATGACAATACATCACTTATCGCCTATTATTGAAGAGGTAAGACAAGTGGGACTTGAGACAGATCTTTCAGTTATGAAAAATACTAATAAAGTAATTCATGAATATTTATATATATATTTTGAAAACAATTTCTAGTGGCTTTAAGTTATAAAAGGTGAACAAAGACAGTATCATAAATGCATCCATAGCTAATTTTAATATTATTGAAAATTTACTGGGAAGTGCTAACTGCTAATGAGGATTCTGTTCTTGCCAAAATAACTTCCACTTTTGATGCACGGTATGGTGTGCACACTATTTGTAGAAACATATTTTTTCTAGCAAATAGCTTAATAAAAATAAAACATATAAAAACCAAACAATGAAACACACATTTTACTTCTTTAATTAACATATTTAGGCTTGTGAAACACTTAAGACCTCCTAGTAATCAATTTTACAGAGAATTTTATTAAAGATATATTATTATACAATGATTGTAGGGAGACATTTAGATCTGCCTTCTGGACGGTTTAAGTATATTTCTGTGGATCAGTTGGCTTTATTTGAGTGGAAAGGACCCAATCAGTGAAAGTTTCAAATAATCAACTATCTACTTACTCATAGGAATTTAGAAATAAATAAGAGTTTAGATGGGGAATCTTTATTAAAGAGTTAAAACTGAAAATGACCATATTATCATATAACTTTAAAGTTAGAAAAAGCTTCATTTATTTTTCAAATGTGAAAAACAGTAATTGAGTAGCTTGGTGAGCTTTTAAAAGTCTCAAGTCGGCCAGGTGCGGTGGCTCACTGCTGTAATCCCAGCACTTTGGGAGGCCAAGGGGGGTTGGATCACCTGAGGTCAGGAGTTCAAGACCAGCCTGCCAACATGGCAAAACTCCTTCTCAACTCAAAATACAAAAAAAAATTAGCTGGGCGTGGTGGCAGGTGCCTGTAATCTCAGCTACTTTGGGAGGCTGAGGCAGGAGAATCACTTGAATCTGGGAGGCGGAGGTTGCAGTGAGCCAAGATCGCGCCATTGCACTCCAGCCTGGGCGACAAGAGCGAAACTCTGTCAAAAAAAAAAAAGTCTCAAGTCTAGAGATTGACAAAAATACGACTTTAAAGGCATGCTTCTGGGACCACTGCAGTTTCAATCTTCCTATGTTTTTCCTCAACATTGGTTAAATTGAAACACACACACAAATGAGAACATCATTGCACATGCAGGCACACACACCAAACAACAAACAAAAACCCCATAAAAACCCATAGTTCCCTCTTCAAATCAACCTGCTTTCAACCATATGGAAACTGTATGGACTGGATCTTTAAGACATTTTTAAGAGAAGATAAGCCAAACCTTTTTTCTTCCACTTGATTCTAGGAATTGTTTAGACTTCTTAAAGGGAGTATAACTATTCATTAGGGATCTCACCTATTGTTCACACTCAACTTTGTGATGGCCATGCCTTAAACTCTGTTCTTAGAGGAACTTTACATAGTGAAGTACTTGGGTAAGTGAAAGGAACACAAGGAGAGGATACTGGAGAGAAGGTTTTAGAGAGTGGGTGATGAGTTGTTGATTTTCCACTGTGATTATGCTTTAATGACAATTTCTATGAATATGAGTTGTATTACATGCTTGGTGTAGGATACAGGCAGACTTCCTTAAATGAAAACTCCATTGTGGCAAACATATCTCCAAGCC
This sequence comes from Homo sapiens, assembly GCF_000001405.40. Taxonomy (NCBI): domain Eukaryota; kingdom Metazoa; phylum Chordata; class Mammalia; order Primates; family Hominidae; genus Homo; species Homo sapiens. The sequence goes on along the minus strand of NC_000023.11, from coordinate 34,346,573 downwards.
ACAGTTTATTTATTTTCTTTATTTCTTCTAAAAAAAAAGTGGGGAAACGTGCAGGTTTGTTACATAGGTATATGTGTGCCATGGTGGCTTGCTGCACCTATTGACCCATCCTATAAATTCCCTCCCCTCACCCTTTACCCCCTACTAGGCCCTGGTGTGTGTTGTTCCCCTCTCTGTGTTCATGTTCTCAATGTTCAACTCCCACTTATGAGTGAGAACGTGCGGTGTTTGGTTTTCTGTTCCTGTGTTAGTTTGCTGAGGATGATGGCTTCCAGCTTCATCCATGCCCCTGAAAAGGACATGATCTCATTCCTTTTTATGGCTGCATAGTATTCCATGATGTATATGTACCACATTTTCTTTATCCGGTCTCATTATTGATGGGCATTTAGGTTGCTTCCATGTCTTTGCTATTGTAAACAGTGCTGTAATAAACATACATGTGCATTTATCTTTATAGTAGCATGATTTATATTCCTTTGGGTATATACTCAGTAATGGGATTGCTGGGTCAAATGGTATTTCTGGTTCTAGATCCTTGAGGAATCGCCATACTGTCTTCCACAATGGTTGAAATACTTTACATTCCCACCAACCGTGTAAAAGAGTTCCTATTTCTCCACAGCCTCGCCAGCATCTGTTGTTTCTTGAGTTTTCAATAATCGCTATTCTGATTGGCGTAAGATGGTGTCTCTTTGTGGTTTTGATTTGCATTTCTCTGATGATCAGTGCTGTTGAGCATTTTTTATATGTTTGTTGTCTGTGTAAATGTCTTCTTTTGAGAAGTGTCTGCTCATATCCTTTGTCCACTTTTTGATGGGGTTGTTTTTTTTTCCTGTAAATGTGTTTAAGTTCCTTGTAAATTCTGGATATTAGACCTTCATCAGGTGGGTAGATTGCAAAAAATTTCTCCCATTCTGTATGTTGCCTGTTCTCTCTGATGCTAGTTCCTTTTGCTGTGCAGAAGCTCTTTAGTTTAATTAGATTCCATTTGTCAATTTTGGCTTTTGTTGCAATTGTTTTTGGTGTTTGTGTCATGAAGTCTTTGCCCATGCCTACATCCTGAATGGTATTGCCTAGGTTTTCTTGTAGGGTTTTTATGGTTTTGGGTTTTACATTTAAGTCTTTAATCTATCTTGAGTTAATTTTTGTACAAGGTGTAAGGAACGGGTCCAGTTTCAGTTTTCTGCATATGACTAGCCAGTTTTCCCAGCACCATTTTCTGAATAGGAGATCCTTTCCCCATTGCTTGTTTTTGTCAGGTTTATCAAAGATCAGATGGTTGTAGATGTGTGGTGTTCTTTCTGAGGTCTCTGTTCTGCTCCATTGGTCCATATGTCTGTTTTGGTACCAGTACCATGCTGTTTTGGCTACTGTAGCATTGTAGTATAGTTTGAAGTCAGGTAGTGTGATGCCTCCTGCTTTGTTCTTTTTGTTTAGGATCGCCTTGGCTATACGGGTCTTCTTTGATTCCACATGAAAGTTAAAATAGTTTTTGTCTAATTCTGTGAAGAATGTCAGTGGTAGTTTGATGAGAATTGCATTGAATCTATAAATTACTTTGGCCAGTATAACCATTTTCATGATATTGATTCTTCCTGTCCATGAGGGTGGAATGTTTTTCCATTTGTTTGTGCCTTCTCTTATTTCCTTGAGCAGTGGTTTGTAGTTCTTCTTGAAGAGGTCCTTCACATTCCTTGTTAGCTCTATTCCTAGGTATTTTATTCTCTTTGTAGGGATTGTGAATGGGAGTTCATTCGTGATTTGGCTTTCTGCTTGCCTATTGTTGGTGTAAGAGAATGCTTGTGATTTTTGCACGTTGATTTTGCATCCTGAGACTTTGCTGAAGTTGCTTATCATTTCAAGAAGTTTTCTGGCTGAGATGATGGGGTTTTCTAAATATAATATCATGTCACCTGCAAACAGATGCAACATGACTTCCTCTCTTCCTATTTGAATACTCTATTTCTTTCTCTTGCCCAGAACTTCCAATAATATGTTGAATAGGAGCGGTGAGAGAGGGCATCCTTGTCTTGTGCTGGTTTTCAAAGGGAATGATTTCAGCTTTTGCCTATTCAATATGATATTGGTTCTGGGTTTGTCATAAGCAGCTCTTATTATTTTGAAATGTGTTCCATCAATGCCTAGTTTATTGAGAGTTTTTAACATGAAGGAATGTCGAATTGTATCAAAGGCCTTTTCTGCATCTATTAAGATAATCCTGTGGTTTTTGTCTTTGGTTCTGTTTATATGATGAATTATGTTTATTGATTTGCATATGTTTAACCAGCCTTGCATCCCAGGGATGAAGCCAACTTGATTGTGGTGGATAAGTTTTTTGATGGGCTGCTGGATTCGGTTTGCCAGTTTTTTATTGAGGATTTTCTCATCAATGTTCATCAAGGATATTGGCCTGAAGTTTTCTTATTTGTTGTGTCTCTTCCCGGTTTTGGTATCAGGATGATGCTGGCTTCATAAAATGAGTTAGGGAGGAGTCCCCCCTTTTCAATTGTTTGGAATATTTTCAGAAGGAATGGTACCAGCTCTTCTTTGAATTTGTGGTAGAATTCGGCTGTGAATCCATCTGGTCCTGGGCTAAACTAGATTTGTAATTCTACAATTTGGGGGCAAGATGAGAAAATGTGAATACTTCCAAATTAATTTTGTTATTATGTGCAATAAAGTATTACAATTATTGTATATTTTATTTTGGCCTCATCTATTACTGTATAACTTTATTAAGAACACAGACTATGACTTTTTGTTCCTTTCATAGCTGCCACCTCATCTAGTCATAGAGGAAAGGGCCAACTGATTACATATGACAAAGACTTGCAACTCTGTAAAGCCTTCACATCTCTGAGAACAGGGGTCTTTAGCAAGCTAATACCAGTAGTCAGACCACCTATTTGGTAAACAAAGTGTTATTAGAACATAATCATGCCCATTGATTTGGTATTGTGCATAGCTGCTTTCAAGAATTGATTAGATGCCACAGAGACCATATGGCTGGCAAGCCTAAACTATTTACTATCTGATCCTTTAAGAGAATGTTTGCCAATTCCTTCCTTAGAAAATAAAGTCTAAGCTTTAGGTCATGTTCAAAAATATTTCTCATGTTTGGTTGTTCATGTCCAGTACCTCCTTACAATTTTGAGGATAATCTCTACTCTGTAGACTTTCCATTGAGAAGAGCCCAGCTCAGGCTTGGTGAGAGGCTTCTCACCTAGAAGATTGAATATAGAACAAAATACTGCAACAATGAGAGATGGCTACAATTATTTCACAGCAATGATGTTGGTAGTACCCTGTACCTCAGTCAGTAGCACTCTGGCCAAATTGCTCCTGCTAAAAGTTGGCTCTCTAACTTCCTGTTCTGTAACCTGCCAAAATGCCCTGGCTCTCCTCCAGCCCCATATCATTGTCATGAACCTCTGATGTCCTTCCCATTAATCCCCTTGAATCTGAAGGCAGACAGATTTGGTTTCTGTTATTTGCTACCAGACTCATCTTACCATATACACTTAGCATAAAAATACTCTATTAATTATTGCATATGGCTATACACAACTCCAGGAAGAGCCATTCAAATTGACATCAATATGAATGACACTCCTTGGAGTTGTGCAGTGCCCATTCTGCATAGTTTTGTAAAAGGCTGCTTTGTGTTTGCTCATCTTTCCAGCTCCCCTTCAATTGTTTTGCATTCATGCTCTACAATTGCATCAATTCCAATTACTTTTACTATCCAGACAAGCCATGTTATATCTTGTTTTTTCTGTGATCACTTTGTTCCCAATGCCAAATGCAGCTTATTCACAGTTTGCTCATCTAACAAAACCCTATGTCTCAACATTTAATGCTCTTCTCAGATATCACCTCCATTGTAAAACTTTTCCTGTCACATTATTTTCCTGCTACCCACGCTAGGCATTCAAAATAAATGACTTTATCAAATGTTTGCATAACATTTTGTGTATATTTCCGTCAACTCATCTCATGATGATTTTATTGTAGTCTTCTGCACTAACGTATGTGCTTTCTGAACAAATGGATTTGTTTAATTGTGTCCTGGTAGAAGATACCTTTGCACATAGCAGATGCTTAAATATATATATCTTCGTGCACTCTGTTATATTATTTAACACTTATAATTCACTAAATACATCAAATTAGTACTTAGAGTCTTCAATTCTCAACAATCACATATATCTAAATGCAGCAATATTTACTTCCTTCTACTAGTTGTCAAATGTCAAGTGAAAAGAAATCTCAACTTAGTAAGGAGAGACTTTATTTGAAAAGATTATTGCAAAGTAGGGGTGAACGTCTGTTGCAATAGGGGGAGGAGAACTATCACAATAGGGATAAAGCTCTGATCGTAATACCTGCAAGCATCTCAAAGTTTAGGCAAAAAGGGCTGTTCTTCAATAGGAAGGAGTAGACAAAGCTAGAAACAACAGAGGAAGTAAGATTAAAGGGTCACTCGATCAGATCCTAGATCAAATGTTTTACTCTGAGGCCAGCCTGTTCTCCGGAAGGTTTATGGTTTGGCTCAGGTTAATGGTGGGTCAGAGTTCAGGGGCATGAAGGAAAGAGAAACTTGGCAAGCAGTTTTTTTTTCTGATTGATCAGTAGGGCCAAGCAATTCAGTTAATAATTTATGAGGCAAAATATGCGAATTTGGAGGATCTTTGTTTGACCATGTCATAGTAAAACAAGGGGAGGCATCCCTGAATCTTATCTACTGGGAAGGATAGATCTTTGCAATAAGCTATTTTGGGGTAACAAAAGGCAGGAGAATTTCCTAATCTTTGCTAGTTTCCAGAATTATTGGGCTTTGGTAAAATTCAACATTGTCACCAATAATGTTTTCAGTACTAGAGAACAAAATTAGATTTTCATAAAACTTAATTTTGTTTTCCAGTGGTTATCACACAGCCACTCATATGCCCACTTGTTAAATTCTGTGAAGTTACCTTTTATGTTAGAGGGTCCTCAAATTTAATAGGTCAGGGATATTTTATGAACCAAATATTGTCTTCCTGCCTAAATCAGAGACTTAGCAGATTTCTTTCAAGCTAAAGTCACCTTCATTCATTTGATAAGACTGTAGGGGGCAGAATTACCCTGGAAGAAAGCTTGAGTGCACCTAGCTAATATCTGAATGTATGCTGTCAGTGATTCATATCTGCTTTTCAGAACAAAGGTTTTTAAAAGTCTTTATAAGAGGAAGATTTCTTATTTATCACTTTGCTTTCTTTTTAATTAATCCTAACTGCTTTTCATGTGGGAAAATGTTTGAAAAGTTTGGATTATAAATGAGTCTAGCATTATTGCTCTATTGTCCCTGCACTAAAATCCTATTGTATTGCCAAGTCAAGGAAGCAAAAGGCAGTAGATTAAGAAAAAATTGCTGGGAAAATGAGCAAGCATTGTTATAAATATGTGACAGATTTCTGTTACTCTCTTGGTAGTAGCATATAGTAGTGGAAAGACTAAGGAATTAGTCTGCATCTTAGTAAGCTATTTGTTTCACAGCTTTTTAAAAGCTAAGTAATGTTTTCTGTAATCATCAGCTTATTTGTGGTTTCCAAATACTTTTCTGTTCTTGATGCCCTTACTACCAAAATAAAAGAGATCTTTCTTCCTAATAATCTACTTCTCCCCTAGCTTGTACTAGGATATGTGTAAAACAAGTGGCATTTATGCATTTTTTTTTCTCATTTTACCCTGATTTCATTCAACATTCTAGCAAGATTTTATTTTGAACATCAATAATGTCTTTAGGATTCCCAAATAAAAGGTTTTCCTTCTGACTCATTTATTTTAAAATCCCCATTGCTTTTGATATTTTATTGACTGTAGTTGACTGTTACATTTACATTGAATTGTGACTATATTCTACCTTGTTACTCCTCTTACATATTCAGCAAATCAGTTTGTTACTTTGAATGCATCTTTTTTACTTCTCCTTTCCTATTATTTTGAGAATTCACAAATCTTCAGTGTTTGGCTTGCTGACTTTCCTTCTCCATAAGAATATTATTCGATTTTGTGATTCCAACTAAAACTTGCCATTGGGATGAATATTACCTAATAATAATGTTAATGACTCTGGTATCTATGTAGTTTAATCTCACTAAAGCTCAGCTTTCTATTGCTAACTGCCTTCTAAATATTTACAAATGGATGTCTTGCTATTTCTTCAAAATCAGCTATTCAAAACAATTCATTTTTCCAAAACTAGTCCTCCTTTCTGATTTTCCCATCCTTCTACCATTGTCATAACTTTTAGGTACAAAAAAATTGTTTAAATAGTTTTAACCTATTCTTTACTTCACAGGCTTATTGCTAACTTCCTAGGCCAGGCCCTTAAGCCCAGGAAACTACTCTAGTCTCTGTTTCCATTAGAAGGCAAGGTCCAAGAGGACAGAATTTTCTGTATGCTTTGTTCATCAACGTAACCTAAGTGCAAATGAGAGTGACTGGCTCATTGAGTATTTGTCCAATGAGTGAATGAATGAATAAGCCCAAATACCCAAACCTAGGCTCTGCTATCATATATTTATCCTACATTCATTACTAGATGAATATTTTAATGCCACTTTTGTAGTGCTGTTTTTCTGAACAGAAACCCAATTTATTCTACTTTCTCACTTTTGTCTAGCTTTCAAAAATGTCCATTATCCTAAGGAGGTCCTAAGAAAGTAAATTACTGTCATAGGTAAAAGTGAACACTCTGGAGCTAAATAGTCTGAGTTTGGTCATGGTTTCTTTATTTACTAATTGGAACAGTTATTTAATTGTCCAGTGTCTTCATTTCTACATCTGTAAAATATAGATAATGACCACTGGATTGGTGTTAGGATGAAGTAAGTTAGTGCACCTTAAGCACTCAAACAGTGCCTGGGATTTAATAAATGCCCAATATACAATAGATATTATTTTTAATCAATTACCTTATTAATCTATATAATTGAAAATATTGTTTACGCATAAATCAGTGGTATCCAAATGTTTACAGCAACATATTCCACCTTTAAATCGAAATTTTATATGTAATCCAATGAATTTGCAAACTTTTAAATAAATGCTGCTTTGGTTATTTGTATCCCTACCTCTTTGGTAAATTTCTAAATCTCCTTGTGAAAAATCTCAAAATTCCAAGAACCACAATTTAAAGACCACTAGTCTAAGTAACTTTGGATATAACTATTTGTTGATTGATTAAATCCTATCTAAAAGCATCAAACTGTAGAGATAGCAAGCTTTTAAATAATTCATCTACTAATTTGCCTGTTGATATAGTTTGGATTTTTGTCCCGTCCAAATCTCGTGATGAAATTTGATCCCTAATTTTGGAGGTGGGGCCTAAAGGGAGATGTTTGGTAATGGGGGAGGATCCCTCATGAATGGCTTGGTGCCCTTTCCTTGGTAATTAGTGAGTTATTGCTTGTTGCTCTATTAGTTCATGTGAGATCTGGTTGCTTAGAAAAGTCTGGCACCTCCCGCCCCTCTCTTTTTCCTTCCCCCTTACCATGTGATGCTTGCTGACCTTCACTTTCTGCCATAGCCGGAAGCTTTCTGAGGCTCTCAGCAGAAGCAGATGCTGAAGCCATGCTTTATAGCCTGAAGAACAGTGAGCAAAATAAATCCCTTTTCTTTATAAATTACCAAGCCTCAGGTATTTCTTTATAGCAGATTCAGACACCTTTCTCAAGTTAGGGCATTCTAACATCAGGAAGTTATATTTTAAATATTATCTAACACAGGCAATTTACATCTTTTTTGGTCACTTAATTTAACTTTGTTTTATTTTTATATGTTTTGCCAGAGTAAATAAAGGAGTTTGAGTTAGAAATCATATTTAAGAAATCAAAGTTTTGTGTTATTATAAGTGTCACACACAGAATAAGTTGTCTGCCCTTCGAGCATTTCTGGATGATTTAAAACATTATGAGTTTCTGAATGGAATCTGTGAGATGTAAAACCTATTTTCTAAATAATGTTGATATTAACAATATTCACTCTTTTATCTTCAACTTTTTAAACTAAGTGAAACCTTAGACTTTGCTGTAATCCTCATTTCTAGCAAAATAGATACTTACATCTACTCCTTCACTGAAAAAATTTAGAAAAAAAATTGCTATGTATAAAAGAGAAGAGTCATATATAATTATCTTGCATTATTCATAAAGTATTTCCTGAATAATCAAATGAACATCTGACTTAGAGTCATGTACTCTTAAAGGAGTAAAAGAGAACCCATTCATGAGCTATTTCAGTCCCTCTATCTTACAAATGAGAAAAATATGAACTGCTGAGCTCAGCATTTTATCAAAGACAAATGGTTGAACTTTAAATATTAAGAAGTATTGAAATCTTTTTGTTCCCAGTCCATGTGGCAAATTAATCACATAGTCACAAACATCAAAACATTTATTCTTATGTCCCAAAGAAAACAGAATATCATGTTTTGGAATCCAGATGATATATCAACTAAAAAAGAAAGATATGATTTTTATTTTTCAACTTTTATTTAAAAATTTAAAGTGTTAAATTAATTTTTTTAATTAAACAGGTGGTGACTAATTCATTTTCTGGCTTACACTGGGATAGACAATAAAGCAGTAAGCAGAAATACTTTGCCCATTGGCTTTTCTAAATTTTGTTAAACAGAGCTTCTCCAAGTAGGACTGAGAAATAGAAAAAGGCCTGTCTCTGTATAGCCTGTGGTTGTCTTTATTGATCTCATTTTTCTTTACCCTTCTCGATGCCTCTTACCTCTGTTCTGTTCTTCTCCCTTTCATTCATACTGAAACGGCTCATAAGCCCTCAAGTGTTGGATCTCCCAGAGAGATGGAGGAGTGCCACTAAAAGAGGAGCAAAGGAAAGTAAAATTGTACAGTGAATATTTAAATGTGGGATTTCAACATCAATGAGAGAGAAAGTGGCAATTTTCTATTGTAGGAGGGCAGACTTTCCCGTGCTTCTAAAACCATTGTAAATGTCCACAAAGAAACAAAAAATAAATAAGCAAAAAGACAAAAAATACAACAGCAAAACACAAAACTTAAAAGAAAAAAATGAAATTTGGTTGATTACATTGTAACTTAGGCTAATCTGTGGGATATTGATCTCTTTAATAAACTGAGTTCCTCATTTCATGAACATTGTATATTCCTTAATTTACTAAGGTATTTGATATGGTTTGGCTGTGTCCCCACCCAAATCTCATCTTGAATTGTAACTCCCACAATTCCCATGTGTTGTGGAGGGAACCTGGTGGGAGGTAATTGAATCACGGGCGGGGGGCTCTTTCCTGTGCTGTTCTTATGATAGTGAATAAGTCTCAGGAGATCTGATGGTTTTATAACTGAGAATTTCCCTGCACGAGCTCTCTTCTCTTGTCTCCTACCATGTGAGACATGCCTTTTACCTTCCGCCATGATTGTGCAGTCTCCCCAGCCACGTGGAACTGTAAGTTCAATAAACCTCTTTCTCTTGTAAATTGCCCAGTCTCAAGTAAGTCTTTATCAGCAGCATGAAAATGGACTAATACAGTAAATTTGTACCAGTAGAGTGTGGCACTGCTGAAAAGATAACCGAATATGTGGAAGCGAATTGGGACTGGGTAACAGGCAGAGGTTGGAACAGTTTGGAGGGCTCAGAAGAAAACAGGAAAACGTGGGAAAGTTTAGAACTCCCAGAGTTGTTGAATGGCTTTGACCAAAATACTGATAATGATATAGACAATGAATTTAGGCTGAGGTGGTCTCAGATAGAGATGAGGAATTTGTTGGAAACTAGAGATAAGGTGACTCTTCTTACTTTTAGCAAAGAGACTTGTGGCATTTTGCCCCTGGCCTGGAGATTTGTGGAACTTTGAATTTGTGGGAGTTGATTTAGAATATCTGGTGGAAAAAATTTCTAAGAAGCAAAGCATTCAAGAGGTGTCTTGGGTGCTGTAAAAGCATTCAGTTTTAAAAGGGAAGTAGAGCATAAAAGATCAGAAAATTTGCAGCCTGACAATGCAATAGAAAAGAAAAATCCATTTTGTGAAGAGAAATTCAAGCCAGTTGCAGAAATTTGCATAAGTAAAGAGAAGCCTAATGTTAATCCCCAAAGTAATGGGGAAAATGTCTCCAGGGCATGTCAGAGGTCTTCACGACAGCCCCTCCCATCACAGGCCCCTAGGCCTAGGAAGAAAAAGTGGTTTTGCGGGCTGGACCTAGGGTTCCCATGCTGTGTGCAGCCAAGGGACTTGGTGCCCTGGGACCCAGCCACTCCAGCTGTGCCTGAAAGGGGCCAACATAGAGCTTGGGCTGTGGCTTCAGAGGATGCAAGTCCCAAGCCTTGGTGGCTTCCATATGGTGTTGAGCTTGCAAGTGCATGGAGTCAAGAATTGGGGTTTGGGAACCTCTGCCTAGATTTCAGAGGATGTATGGAAACACCTGAATGTCCAGGCAGAAGTTTGCTGCAGGGGCGAGGTGCTCATGGAGGACCTTTGCTAGGGCAGTGCAGAAGGGAAACGCAGGGGTGGGATCCCCTACGCAGAGTCCCCACAGGGGCACTGCTTAGTGGAGCTATGAGAAGAGAGCTACTATCCTCCAGACCCCAGAATGGTAGATTGCACCATGTGCCTGGAAAAGCCACAGACAGTCAATGCCAGCCCATAAAAGCAGCCAGGAGGGGGGCTATACCCTGCAAAACCACAGGGGAGCTTCCCAAGGCTGTGGGAGCCTACCTCTTGCATCAGCATGACCTGGATGTGAGACATTAAGTCAAAGAGATCACTTTAGAGCTTTAAGATTTGACTGCCTCACTGGATTTTGGACTTGCATGGGGCCTGTAGCCCCTTTGTTTTGGCGAATTTCTCCCATTTGGAATGGCTGTATTTACCCAATGCCTGTACTCCGTTGTATCTAGGAAGTAACTAACTTGTTTTTTATTTTACTGGCTCATAGGTAGAAGGGACTTGGCTTGTCTCAGATGAGCCTTTGGACTGTGGACTTTTGAAATGTGGACTTTTGAAATGCTGAAATGAGTTGAGACTTTGGGGGTTTGTTGGGAAGGCATGATTGATTTTGAAATGTGAGGACAAGATATTTGGGAGGGGCCAGGGGCAGAATGATATGGTTTGGCTGTGTTCCCACCCAAATCTCATCTTGAATTGTAACTTGCACAATTCCCATGTGTCGTGGAAGGAATCTGGTTGGAGGTAATTGAATCATGGGAGCTGGTCTTTCCTATGCTGTTCTCGTGATAGTGAATAAGTCTCACAAGATCTGATGGTTTTAAAAATGGGAGATTCTCTGCACAAGATCTCTTCTCTTGTCTGCTGCCATGTGAGACATGCCTTTCACCTTCCACCATGATTGTGAGGTTTCTCCAGCCACGTGGAACTGTCAGCACACCTCTTTCTTTTGTAAATTTCCCAGTCTTGGATAAGTCTTTATCAGCTGACTGAAAACAGACTAATACAGTATTCTTTAATTTTTCTCAGTAATGTTTTATGGTTTTTAATGTAGGGGGTCTCATTAGATATTTTCTGATCCATTTCATTTTTTTAGATGTTACTGCCAAGAGCATCATTTAAAAAAATGTAATTTCCTGTTTGCTATTGATGTATACAAGTAAAAGTGATTTTTTTTCTTATTGACTTGGTATTTAGCAACCTTGTTAAATTATGTTATTAATTCTAATGGCGTACCAGCAGAATATATTTCACATATCATAATGATTAAAGGATCAGTCTTCTAAAACAATGTAATAATTCTAAATTTTCATACAAATAGTAATGTTCTTCAAAAGCTCATACAGCAAAAACTGACAGAAAATAAGAAACAAATAGATAAATCCACAGTCATAGTGAAAAATTTTAACGCAATTTTCTCAGTAATAGGAAGAAAAATTAGTCAAAAGCCCATAGAAGATTTTTAACACAAATATCAAGTTTGATCAAATGGAAATATACAAAACACTCTGCTCAACAAAGATAGAAATCACTTTTCAAGTACATATAGACCATGGCCCAAAATTCATTATATGACTGTAATTTAAGCATGCCTCAACATGTTTTAAAGATTAGCATTAAACATATTTTGACTGTTGAGATATTGAATTAGAAATTAGTAACAAGAATAACTAAAACATCTCCAAATGTTTAAGAATTAGGCAATTTACTTAAATAATCCACAAATTAAAGAAGAAATCAAAATGAGCACAAGAAAAAATTCCAGCTGTATCCCAATAGCTCCTTGAACATGTATGTACTATAACACCCAGTACATTTCCCCTACAAGCAAGGTCACTAACAGAGCCTGTGTCTTATTTATATAGCCTCCTCTACATTTTGACAACGCCAATGGATGGAGCTCACTAAGTGATAATTGATTTTAACAGAAAGAACTCTTAGTTTTAAGCAACGTGATTTGACTTTGACAGCATTAAGAAGGAAATAAATACAGTCGTGCATTGCTTAATGATGAGGATACGTTCTGAGAAATGCATCGTTAGAGAATATCATCATTTTACGAACAACATAGTGTACTTATACACACCTAGACAGCATAGCCTACTGCACACCTAAGCTATATGGTCTAGCCTATTGCTCCCAGGCTATAACTCTATACACATGTTACTGTACAGAATACTTCAGGCAATTAGAAAACAATGCTAAATATTTGCATATGTAAATATAGAAAATGTACAGTAAAAATGCAGTATAAATGATTAAAAATGCTACACCTATATGCACTTACCATGAATAGAGCTTGCAGGACTGGAAGTTGCACTGAGTGAGACATTGAGTGGTGAGTGAATGAAAAGGCCTAGGACATTATTGTATACTACTGTAGACTTTGTAAACACTGTACACTTAGGCTACTCATGACTTATAGAAAGGTTTATTTTCTCATCATAAATTAACCTTAGCTTACTGTAACATTTTTACTTTATAAACTTTTAAATATTTTAACTTTGTGGTTCTTACGTAGTAATACTTAGCTTAAAATCCAACTATTGTACAGTTGCACAAAAATATTTTTATATTATTATTCCATATGCTCTTTTCTATTTTATTTTTTTCCTTTAAAACTTTCTTCTTTATTATACATATTTTTTAGAGATGGGAGTCTTGCTATGTTGCCAGATTTGTCTCTATCTCCTGGGCTCAAGCAATCCTTTTGCCTCAGCCTCCCAAGTAGCTGGGATTATGGGCACACCTCCCTGCTGTCTCCTCTTTTCTAGTTAAGTTTTTTTTTTTTATTTAACTTTTTAAACTTTTGTTAAAAAACTAAGATACAAACAAACACATTAGCCCAGGCATGCACAGTGTCAGCATCAACACGTTACTAGGTGATGGAAACCTTATGGGAGCAAAGTCGTATCTGTGTTCCATCGCTGACTGAAAAGTTGTTACGCAGGGCATGACTGTACTTGATTACTCTGCAGAGTGTAATGCTGAACTTGCAAACACTGGGCATTAGATGCTGCTGCTTTTGGAAAGTGGATATTGTTTCCACTATTCCTTTTTTGTGTGACCAGAACAGATTTTACAATTGTACTTTTCCACATCACTGGCAGCTTCTAATTCCAAATCTGAAGAACGTGCATGAAATTGATAGAACCCAATTCTGGTGCTTTGGCCCTAGGTTCAAAAGAGGCGGAGAAAACAAGTATTTGGGATCTTTAGCTTCTATAGTGGAAGGACAATTTGCCTAATAAATTGGGAGATTCCTAAAACATAGAGAATGGTTATGCTGAGTGGCCAAAATAGTAGCAAACATTCTTTAGAGTTTACCTCTTGCACTAGCACATAAACACGCAGCTTTTGTTTTCTATTTCTTCACCTCTATTAAAGAGAAATAATATTATTTGTAGGTATCCTTCTGAAATGTAAATGGTCTATCTTCATACAAGATCAGATCAGGGTTTCTCACCACAGCACTATTGACATTTGGTCCAGATAATTCTTTGCTGTGAGGGGCTGTCCTGCAGTGTAGGATGTTTAGCAGTATCCCTCTCATCTACCCACTAGATGTCAGTAGCACCTCTTCCCCAGTTGTTACAATCAAAAATATCTCCAAACATTGCCAGATATCTCTGGGGGTTAAAACTGTCTCTGCTTGAGAACAACTGGACTGTACGCAAAATGCTCATTATTTACTGTATCCAGCTTCACGCCCAGGTTCTTTAGATGAAAAGTACATCTACTCTACTGTATTTCTGTCATATATCTTTTTTTTTTTTTTTTTTGAGATGGAGTTTCGCTCGTTGCCCAAGCTGGAGGGCAGTTGTCCGATCTCAGCTCACTGCAACCTTCGCTTCCTGGGTTCAAGCAACTCTCTAGCCTCAGCCTCCCGAGTGGCTGGGATTACAGGCACCTGCCACCACTCCTGGCTATTTTGTGTGTGTGTGTGTGTGTGAGTGTGTGTGTGTGTGTGTGTGTGTGTGTGTGTGTGTCTGTGTGTGTGTGTGTCTGTGTGTGTTTAGTGGAGATGGGGTTTCACCATGTTGGCCAGGCTGGTCTCAAACTCCTGACCTCAGGTGATCCACCTGCCTCAGCCTCTCAAAGTGCTGGGATTACAGGCATGAGCCACTGCACCTGACCCAGATATATATTTTTGATATTCTATAACCTATGTACAAAATTTAAATTTTAACTATCATTAAGTATCTCCATAAAAATAGAGAGAAAGTATAAAGGAAGAAAAGAGGAAAAGCCACTTAAGTCATCTCTCATTTAGCATTAGTAATCTGTTCCTTAAAATCAGATATTTTGCCTGAAAATAATGAGGGGCCTATTTTATTTTTTTTAAATAAAAAGTGTTTTGTGTTTCATGTCAACTCAAATTCCTAAATAATTTATTACCAAAGTGCCATAAAAAACTACATGTAAGTAACAAATATTATGTTAACCATTAAATGCTTAAGGCATTTCTATAAATATTGTAAAATGGCATCTTGTTTGTTAATAATATATTGCATTTTGAGAGTATAAATATATTTTTTCTTCATAAATATTGAATAAAATTTTTGTGAGAGATTGTGCTCTCCATGAAATCTGGGTGTTAGAAACCAGGAGGCCTTCTTCTGAGAGTGTTAACCAGGGAGACGTTTGAGATTTGGAAGAAACCTAAGTTTCCATCAACAGATGAATGGATAAAGAAAGTATGGTGAATATACACAATGGAGTACTATTCAGCCATAAAAACAATGAGATCTAGCAATTTACAACAACATGGATGGAGCTGGAGATCATTATGTTAAGTGAAATAAGCCTGGAAGAGAAATACAAACTTCACATGTTCTTAATTGTACATTTAAAAATAACTTAAAGAGTGTAATTGGATTGTTTTTAACTCAAAGGATAAATGCTTGAAGGGAAGGATACTCCATTCTCCATGATGTGATTATTTCACATAACATGCCTATATCAAAATATCTCATGTACCGCACAAATATATACACCTATTATGTACCCACAGAAATAAAAAATTAAAAAATTTTAAAAGAAAGTCAATTATATTTCAATACTGCCTTGAAAGGAAATTATGACGTGAGCATGACATTCTCATTGTATTTACAAATCTCAATGCCTTTTCAAGCAACTATGCTATCCTACAGATTTGGAATACTCGTGACCTTTATACTTTTATAGGACAGCCACTACTTGGATTTCTTTAGTCAAATCATTAACAAACACTCAATTCCAAGAGACACCAAGGATAATTTCATGAATTTGTTTCTCATTCTGTGGTACAGAATGCTAGAGTCTCATTCTTTATTATTAAGTGGAGATTTACTTCCTTCAGTGCCAACCTGGCTATATAACAATTTTCTTTTTTAGGGAAAGAGGTGATTTCCCCCCTTTCCTTAAGGATCTATTGTCTTTGATCTCTTCTAGTATCAAGTTTTATGTCAGTCAGAATAATCATGACTTACTGTGGCTTAGTCACACAGAAATTAAACTTACTAAAACGATATTGGGCAGTTTCTAGAATATCTAAAATATCTGAAAGGTTCAAGAATCAGGACTGGAGTTGAACAGCTTAAAATTATGCCCAGTAATCACACTGTGGAATTGTTCCAGGAAACAACTTACTGCTAGAATCCCTGGGCAGACACACTATAGCTGGAACTACAAATAATAATTAAATGGGTCACTAAATACCATCATTTGAATCACTGATAGGCTTCTTCTGCATACTGAAAGTAGCTTCTGCTTTCTATCGCTAGAATAGATTCTGAGCAGTTTTTTATTCTTATTAATAGCTTCTAGTCCACTCTCCAGAGGGGAAAAAAAAATTGATTGACAGAGCCACAGTCACATGCTAGACCATAGCTTTCAGGGATGCTCAGAAATCAAGTAGCTGGCATTTTCAGCCTCTATAAGGACAGACAGGTTCTGTCTCATAAAGTGAGGTTTTCCATAAGTGTTGTATTGGTTCATAGATTGGGTGACCAAAACAAAGAGTAAGGACTATCCATTAGAGTTTATTAATGAATATATACCACATAAGTCAGAATTTTACATTTTTACACACATACACCCATACACCCACACACTACACACATATATATGCACCACACACATGCATATATGCATACGTGCACACACATACACACGTGTGTGTGTGTGTCTATGTATGTAGATACGCATGCATGTGTGTGTGCAGGGGTGAGTGAATGAGTGCATTGTTATAACTTGATTATTTCTGGCTTTAAATAAAATAAGCCTTTGTTTTTTACTGCTACTGTTTTGAATTCATAATGGGGATTATTCTAGTTACAAAGAGGAAAATGAAAGCATTTCTTCCAAAGTAAATTAAATAAAATATAAACATGAAAATGAACATAATCTCTGAGGCAGGAACTGCCAAATCATCCTTTTGGATCAGTGGTGTAGTCAGCTGTTTGCCTTATTTATTATTAATGGAAAATAAGGATTTAAGACATCACTGAAAATAAGTATTTTAGAATAGTCTGGCTATTTGCAACATAGTGAAACATTTTTATAATATCAAAATATAAAAACAAAGATTATTTTCAATATAAATTTTAGCTGTATATTTTTTACATATTATAACAATATATAGTTAGTGTTAAATAGAAAGACCAGATTAGAATACTGAATTGTTACAGAGTCAGTGGTAAGAAAACTGTTATATGTTATTGTTTAGCGTGGTATTCACATTTTGTATTTAAGATATCTTTAAGGGACTTTTCATCTGATTAATAAGTGAATTCATTAAAAACAGATGGAAAATAGTAAGAGTGACAGCATGGTGTCTTTAGAATCATAGGGATTTGAATTCTATTTCTTTAATGACAATTTTTGAGAACCTATCACATACAAGTATATGACTTTTACATAATCTCTATACATTTAATTTTTATAATCTATAAAGTAAATATTAAAACACTTAGCTGACAGAGTTTTTGAGAGCAAAACAAATCTTAAAGGCAAGATTCCAAAAGATTAAAACTTTTCCAAATGACTTAAATATGTCCTGAAACAAAACTCAATAATATTTATTGGAATAAAAAACATTCAGCACCACCACAAGGTGAAATTCATAATTTATGGTGTCAAACCAAAGAATACCAGGTATAAAAAGACCAGAAAATATGAGCTATAATGAGGAGAACAATCAATCACTCAAAAGAAACCCATATCTGACACAGATGTTAGAAGTAGAAGATAAGGAAATTAAAATAGCTATCATAATTGTACTCCATATGTTAAAAAATTTAAGCAGAAATCTGGAAAATACAGAAAAAAGACCCAATAGAGTTGCTATTAGCCAAATTTTAAGTGTCTGAGATTTTAAAAAAATCACTGAATGTGCTTAATAGCAGATAAGACATGGTAGAAGAAATGATTTTTCTGGGTAAGAGATAATAGTAGTACCAAACCTTCAGGTCACTTTCAAACTCAGCTTAAAAGAGGACTGAAGTCGCATCCTCAGCCACTGCTAGCAGTAACCCTCTCTGACTCATTATCTGAGTCCGACTCTTTCTCTGAGTTACTGTGATCATAACCCAGAAAATGAGTTGAATGGGGTTACTGCTGGCAGTGGTTGAAGATGTGGCTTCTATTTTGAAGGTTTTCCATGGTAAAAGAGGCAAAGATATGAATTAACCATGGCCCCTTCCCATGCTGAGGTCACACAGGGAACTCATCCCACATTAGCAGAGACCACTGACACTGGAGTGACAGGACAAGGGTCCTGTCTCAATCACCAATGGGCAGACTGAAGTCATAGGAATACAGTCTTTCCTTTTATTCATCAGCACTGAGGTTTATAATCAATCAGAACAGGTACTTAGAGGAGAACATGTGCGAAACTTTGTAGCTTCTTGGAGATGTTGGCTTGAAAAGCTGTCTAAAAACTATAATAACATAATAAAAATAAATGAAGTGTTTGCATGTTTACTTAAATAAATTCTTTAGCTTGGAATTTCTCAAAGTATGTATCATTAACCTGGTCTTCCAATAGTATATTTTGTAACAGACACATAGTTGATAACAAATATGGCATTGTAGTTATCACAATTACTTTTGTTGGAAGACATTACATGACATGAGAGGATCTTGGCCTATTTAGTATCCCTTATCCTTTTATTTTAATGGAATACAGATTGAGTATCCAATTTCCAAAATGCTTGAGACCAGAAGTGTTTCAGGTTTTGGATTTTTCCAGATTGGGAAACATTTGCATATACATAATGAGATATCTTGGGATGAGACTCAAGTCTAAAGATTAAATTTACTTATGTTCCATGTAGACATAAACATATCCTGATGATAGTTTTATACTTTTAATAATTTTGTGCATGAAACAAAGTTTGTATATGTTGAAGCATCTGGAAGCAAAGGTGTCATTATTGCAGTCACCCATGTGGAAAATCTGTTTTTTTGGCATTACCATCATTCCTGACTCTGAATTTATATGCTACTCATAAGCATTCATTTCTTTACAATTATTCACATATAAATACTTGACAATACAAAATGATATACTATTAATACGGTAAAAACATAATGTTTTGGGGATAACTAAGCAGCACAGTAGCATTACCAGAATACCTGTATCAACTGTTCAACAACAGCAACAACAAACAATGGCAAGTTTTCAGTCTCCACATACAATGCTGTGTTTTTACTAAAAAGTTACTGTACACTCTATCTTATTTTTCTAGGTGAGAAGAAACCTCAGAAGCAGTAGTGGGGCCCCAGAAGCATCTAGGCAGGAAGAGGCATTCTATTGAATGTCTTTTTTAAATGGCTGGCAGAATCATTTTTCCCTTGGGGAAGCTGAATAAACCGTGTGTTGTGTACCTGTGTATTAACTGTGACCCATCGTATGAGGTCAGGTGTGGAACTTTTTACTTGAGGTGTCATGTTGATGCTCAAAAAGCTTTAAATTTTGGAGCATTTTGAATTTTAGATTTTCATTCAGATTAAGGATGCTCAACCTGTACATAATTTAGGTGGAAAATATAGCTCAGTGAACTTTAAAATTTTATCTTCGCAAATTAACAATGGAGGTAAGGGATTTTTTGAGTTAAAGACTACAGGGATTTGATTTATTTGAAGGAAAAAGTCTTTAAATTGTGCCTCTGGTTAGTAAACTGACTTTTGACTTTGGAGAAAGATCTATAATTTCTCCTACTATCTGATAGTTCCAGAACTACCATAAAAACAGTGCCTGAATAGCTTTAGGGTTCAGAAGTTAAGAAATAAAGTAAAAAGTCAGAAAGCATTATTATGGAGGTACATTCTCTCTACCTTAAAAAAGTAATAATATTTTAAAAATTCCACTTCTCTTATAAGAATACTAAATTGTTGTGCCATCACCTCCTACAGAAAAAGTGCCGGGCCGAGCATGGTGGCTCACGCCTTTAATCCCAGAACTTTGGGAGGCCGAGGAGGGTGGATCACGAAGTCAGGAGATCGAGACTATCCTGGCCAACATGATAAAACCCTGTCTCTACTAAAAATACAAAAATTTGCTGGGCGTGGTGGCACGTGTCTGTAGTCCCAGCTATTCAGGAGGCTGAGGCAGGAAAATAGCTTGAACCCAGGAGGCGGAGTCTGCAGTGAGCCGAGATCATGCCACTGCACTCCAACCTGGTGACAGAGCAAGACCCCGTCTCAAAAAAAAAAAAAAAATAATAAAATAAATAAAAATAAAAAAATAGAAAAGTGCCACATAGTGCTCGTCTATCTCCCCAATTTTATGCAGTAAGGTAAGATTGCTCCCTACTTTAACTACTCTTTCCTCATTCCCCTTCCTAGAAGAGAGCTTCAGCTAACATAAGAAAAGAGAGAAAAATGTCTATTATCATAACATCAACTAATGGCTTTTGATGTTTCCAAGAGAAATTTTGATTATAGATGTTTAGCTGAAAGATCTAAAGATTATTTCATAGGGTCTTCAGGGGAAGCAGTTTGTAGGGTCTCCCACAATATGCTTACCCACATACCTAGACGGCTGAAAATAAAGAAGAATGGAGCCTATTTTCTGATAACAATGACCTTGAAGAGAGAGAAGAGTGACAAAGAAAATAAGGTCACTGTGGAAGAAGTGGAAAATTAGCATAAACCTTCAGAGATGCCATTAAAGATAAACTGTATGGATTTTAAACGGATAAAAAAGAAAGAATTGTCTGTGTCAACTGCTAATCTCTATGTGTCTTGTATTTGTAAAGTAGTGTTTTCTTCTAGTAACAGAAACAATTTCATGCTCTTCCAGACATTAAAATCTATGTAACTAAGGATTTATGTATTTGTGGGCTTGTCTGAGATTATTCTACTGTGACATAACATATGGCCGTGCCTCCATCAAAGAATAGCATAGAAATCAGCCAAGAAACACTCCATCATTCATCTAAACTACTTACCAGATTGTTACTGAGGAAGGGGAGTGCACACAGTTTCTGCAGATTGATGTAATGAACACTCTTTCAGCAGGAGGGTAACATGAGAAAAGCAGTAATCTTGACATGGAAGCACTGACTGTCGAGTTTGAGAATGCATGGCTTAACCTGAATGCACAAGTTAATAATTTTCATGAGGTTATTCATTTCTATAGGAATTTTTCACTAGGTGTTATTGGGCAAAGTATGAATAGTGGAAAGAAATTTAAAGAAGGTGGTTTTTGTGTCTGCATCATTCAAGGTGGATTCTAAAAGGAAAATTAGATTGTCTATGAAAAGGGAGGAAAGATCCCTGAATGATATGGCAAAATTGGAGGGGCCACTGTATTTGATACAGTATTTAATTCCAGCTTCATTTGAAACCTGGCTTGAAACTAGTGAAAAGAAAACCTATTAGGTACCAATGAGAAGAAGAAAAATACATTGTTTAGGGGTTTGTGATTCCCTGCCAGCTTCAAATAATTAATTAAAGAGCTAATTGGGAGCCATGGGTAAAGGAAATTGACTAAAGAAGCTTTAGAGAAACTGATAAAAATGATTTAGTTGACATTGTATATTATGATTGATTTAAGAGGTTTTCAAGGGTAATTATGAATTTATCCCATATTAAAAATAATCAATAATCTTTGCTAGCACATAATCAGATATCAAGGTAAGATTTGACTTCATTGTATTAACAGCTTTAAATTTATGAAATCTCAAGTAGCCTAAAAATGGAAAGGATGTTTAAAGAGAAGTTATAACTTATTCACAAAAAATTCTCTTCTCTATGAGCCGGGTAGGAGCTGTGCAAAAGGGGAACTACGACTGTAGAATGCTATATTTTGTAGAGATTTTCAGAATGATTGAGTCATCTGAGATTGATGGTTTATGGTACCATACTAGGAAATCTTGTCATGACATCTTAGTTATAACAAGATTGTAAGCTTATTCAATTACGATGATATTTCATTTCATTTCATTTTTTGATTTTTTTTGTATTTAGAGGTTTTTTTTAAATTAGCTTTTGGAGTACAGGTGGTTTTCAGTTACATGGATTAATTTTGTTAGTGGCAATTTCTGAGATTTTAGTGCACCTGTCACCTGAGCAGTGTACACGGTATTCAATGTGTAGTCTTTTATCCCTCACCCTCCTTCCAACCTTCCCTCCTGAGGCCCCAAAGCGCATTTTATCGGTTTTATGCCTTTGCCTCCTCATAGCTCAGCTCTCACTTATAAGTAAAAACATACAATATTTGGTTTTCATTCCTGAGTTATTTCACTTAGAAGAATGGCCTCCAGCTTCATCCAAGTTGCTGCAAATGACACTATTTTGTTCCTTTTTATGGCTGAGTAGTATTCTATGGTGTATATACAGCGGATTTTATTGATCCTCTCATTATCCCTCGATGGGCATTTAGGTTGGTTCCATATCTTTGCAATTATGAATTTTGCTGCTATAAACATGTGTGTGTATGTGTCTTTTTATGTAATGGCTTTTTTACCATTGGGTAGATACCCAGTGGTGGGATTGCTGGCGAATGGTAGTTCTGCCTTTAGTTCTCTAAGGAATCTCCATACTGTTTTCCCTAATGGTTGTCCTAATTCACATTTCAGTCAGCAGTGTAAAAGTGTTCCCTTTTAATTGTAATTACAATTTATTTATTTACTTATTTGAATTTCAACTTTTATCACTTATTTATTTTTTATTTTTAATATTTGTTGGCACTTAGTAGGTATATATATTTTGGGGTACATGAGGTGTTTTGATACAGGCATACAATGTGTAATAATACCATCATGAAAAATGAGGTATTCGTCCCCTCAAGCATTTATTCTTTGTGTTACAATAATCTAATTATACTCTTTTAGTTATTTCATAATGTACAATTAAATTACTATTCACTATAGTCCTCCTGTTGTGCTATCAACTTTTATTGTAGATACAGGCAGTACCTGCGCAGATTTGTTACATGGGAATATTGTGTGACGCTGAGGTTTGGAGTACAGATCCCATCACCCTAGTAGTGAGTATCGTACCTGATAGGTAGTTTTTAGCCCAATCCCCTGTCCTAGACAGTCTAGTAGTCCACAGTGTCTATTCCACTATTTATGTTTATGTGTGCTCAATGCACAGCTCCCACTTTTAAGTGAGAACATGTGGTATTTGACTTTCTGTTCCTGCATTAATTTGCTTGGGATTATGGCCTCCAGCTCCATCCACGTTGCTGCAAAGGACATGATTTTATTGTTTTTGTGGATGCAAAGTATTCCATGGTGTATATGTACCACATTTTCTTCATCCAGTCTACCATTGATGGGTACCTGGGTTGATTCCATGCCTTCGCTATTGTGAATAGCACAGTGATGAACATATGAGTGCATGTGTCTTTTTGGTTAAATGGTTTATTTCCTTTTAGGTATAAACCCAGTAATGGGATTGCTGATCTAATAGTAGCACTGTTTTCATTTCTTTGAGAAATCCCCAGAATGCTTTCCACAGTGGCTGAACTAATTTACATTCCCATGAACAGTGTATAAGTGTTCCCTTTTCTCCACAGCCTTGCCAGCATCTGTTATTTTTTGACTTTTTAATAATAGCCATTCTGACCGGTGTGAGATGATATCTATCTCCTTATGGTTTTGATTTGCACTTCTCTGATGATTAGTGATGCTGAAAATTTTTTTTATGTTTTTTGGCCACTTTTATGTCTTCTGAAAAGTGTCTGTTAATGTCCTTTGCCCATTTTTTAATGGGGTTGTTTTCTGCTTGTTGATTTAAGTTCCCTATAGACTCTGGATGTTAGTTCTTTGTCAGATGCATAGTTTGTGAATAACTTCTCCAATTCTGTAGGTTGCCTCTTTGATCTGTTGATTCTTTTGCTGTGCAGAAGCTCTTTAATTAGGCCCCACTTGTCTATTTTTGTTTTGTTGCAATTGCTTTTGGGGACTTAGCCAAAAATTCTTTGCCAAGGCCAATGTCAAGAAGAGTATTTCCAAGGTTATCTTCTGGGATTTTTTAGTTTGAGTTATCATATTTAAATCTTTAATCCATTTTGAGTTAATTTTTGTAGATGGTAAAAGGGAGGCTTCAATCTTCTGCATATGACTAGGCAGTTATCCCAGCACCATTTATTGAATAGGGAGTCCTTTTCCCATTGGTTGTTTTTGTCAGCCTTGTTGACCATCAGATGGTTGTTGGTGTTCAACTTTATTTCTGAGTTTTCTAATCTGTTATTTTAGTCTAGGTGTCTGTTTTTGTACCAGTATCAAGCTGTTTTGCTTACCGTGGCTTTATTGTATAGTTTGAAGTTGGGTAGTGTGATGCTTCTGGCTTGGTTCTTTTTGCTTAGGATTGCTTTGGCTACTTGAGCTCCTTTTTGGTTCCATATGAATTTTAAAATAACTTTCTTCTAATTCTGTGAAAAGTGACATTAGTAGTTTGATAGGGAATAGCACTAAATTTGTAAATTGCTTTGGGCAGTATGGCCATTTTTATTATATTGATTTTTCCAATCCATGAGCATGGAATAGTTTTTCCATTTATTTGTGTGTGATGATATTTTAAAAGACTTAGAAAATCGGTCTGTGCGAGTGTGTGTGTTGTGTGCACTATAGCAGTTTGAGGAAACAAACCATGATTCATTAATTCACCATGTGCCAAAACCGAGATTCAGAGAGTGGCATGGCCTGTGTAGTCAGGGATGATTTGTGTGTTGTTTATGTGTGTGTTTTAGATTTGAGGCAAGAGTGAATATTACTTGATGCCCATTGAAAGACTAAACCTGAGGAGAATGAAAATTTATTTTTCTGATGAAATATTTTTTCCATTAAGAAAATGCTTCAGAGCAACCTTTGAACCAAACTCCTTCCTGTATTTAATGGACAGAATGGCTATTTATAGGAGGATTTGGAAGTGTAGTTGTATGTAAATAATGAAATTGGGTTCGGGAGTTTTAAGGGCTCTGGTAAAGCAAGAGAAATTATTTCTCTACATGCTAGACCAAATTAACGAAGTCAGTTTGAAAATGTCACTTAGCAGGTGTGAGTTGTGACACAGTTCAGTGAATATATGCACTATATTGTTTATTGACAATGGGAAGGATGAATGCCCATCTCATTAACAAGCCAACTTAAAGAACCAATGATATTTGAAGAGTTCAGATGGTATTATAATTGACATTCAGGGTCTAGTTTGTCTACTTTCTAGTGCGCCTTTCTAAATTGCCGGCTCTAGTAAACTTAAAAATAATTCCCAGGCTCTCTTTTGATTTGGGATCTTGATGTGAAAAAGATTCAACAAACTATGCATTCACATGAGATTGTTAGGAAAGGCAATTATCCTGTTGCCCTGGGTGTTGCCCCAGCCAGCATCACTGTGGAGACAAGTATTTTTCTGTAGCAGCATTCCCATGTACTTAGAACCCTAGGTACAATATTTGTTTTGTTTAGTGATAGTATATAGAAACTAAATAAAATATATGTACATTTAATGAGTAATTATGAAGTAAAAACAAACATCACCATTATACAGGTCAAGAAATAAGAAGTTGCCAACACCTCGGAATTCCCTCTGCCTTGCATCATCTCAAAATCCTCCCTTAATAAAATCTATAGCCACTCACTTAACTTGTGTGTTAATCAATTCACTGCTTTTCTTTGTAAATTTACCACTTATACATGCATTCCTATAATACTATTGATGGGTATGTGTATTGCTTCCAATTTGTGGCTGTCATGAACAATGCTGCTATGCACATTTTTTTTTTTTTTTTTTTTGAGATGGAATCTCGCTCTGTCGCCCAGGCTGGAGTGCAGTGGCTGATCTCGGCTCACTGCAACCTTCACCTCCCGGGTTCAAGTGATTCTCCTGCCTCAGGCTCCCAAGTAGCTGGGACAACAGGCACACGCCACCACGCCCGGCTAATTTTTGTAATTTTAGTAGAGACGGGGATTCACCATATTGGTCAGGCTTGTCTCGAACTCCTGGCCTCAGATGATCCACCCGCCTCGGCCTCTCAACATGCTGGGATTACAGGCGTGAGCCACTGCGCCCGGCCCATTTTTGTATATGTGTCGTGGTGCCTATGAGAACACATTTCCCTTGGTAGTGGAACGCAGCATCACAGGGAAGTTTCGGGAATCGAATGAGTCACAGAAAAAAATATATCCTTAACCTCAAGATAATGTCAAGGTATTTCACAAGGGGTCAAATCAATTTTCACTTCGAACAACAGTGGAAGTTTCTCATATTTAAATTATTTGACAACATTAGTTATTTTCACTTATTAGCCCATTTATGCCTAGTGTTCCATTATTGGAAGGCTAACCATGTGGGAGCTATTTATATCCTACTGCTCAAGTCATCACCAAGGTCTGATTGGAAAAATTCAAAACATTGCAACCTCAGGCATAAATGGGTTAATGCCTCCTATCTAATGGTTATGTAATGGCACTTCATTATGGTTTGAATTTTAGTTTTCATGTCTATTAAAGAGATTGTGATATTTAAATATACTTATCTATTGACAATGGGAAGGATGAATGCCCATCTCATTAACAATTGACTTTTGAAATTTGTCATTGTAAAAAAATCTGTTGAAATTTTTTCCATTTTTAAATTAGGTTGTCTTTTTCTTCAGGCTGTATAAGAGTACTTTTATATTATGAATAGCTGGTCTTTATTGGTATTATCAGTTACAATGATTTTTTCACGCTCTGTTGCATAGCTTGCCTTTTAACTACCTGGGGTTTTCTCTAGTGGAAAATATTTCTTAATTTAATGTAGTTAAATATATTATTTAAAAAAAATATTGTACTTTTCCTATCTTAGGAAAATAACTTTTTACTGTGTGGCATGAAGCTAACCTTCTAAATTGTCTTTTAAAATATATTTGTGAATCTTTCAGATTTAGGTCGTTACCTGGAAATAACTTTATTTATGGTGTGAAGTAAGTGTCAAATTTTAATTATAAATGTTTTCCTTATGGATACCCTATCGCTCACCACTTCTTAATCAAATCGTTGATTTCTTTAGTAAGCTGCAGCGATGACTCCACCATACAAGTGCTTATACATATTCTTGTCTGTTTGCTGTGTCTCTATACCCGTCCTTTTTAAAAATTCATTCCTTAATTGACAAGTACAAATTGAAAAAGTATTATAATATTGTCTGTAGAGACTTTACACATCTTGTTAGATTTATTACCGCTTCAACTTTTTGTGCCATCAGAAAAGATTTATTTATTTTTAATTTTACTTTCTGTTAGTTGCAGTTATATAAAACTACAATTTATTTTTATTGATTTTTATCCAGAAATCTTATTAAATTCTCTTATAAATACTAGCAATTTCTTGTAGATTATTCTGTATTTTCTCAGTACTTACCAATGTTGTATAGGAATAGCACCAGTTGTGTTTTTTCCTTTCCAATCTTTGGGCATTTTGGTTCTATTTCTTGACTTTCTGCCCTGGCTAGGATATCCAGTACAACACTAAATAGAAATGCTGATAGAAGGCATTCTTGTCTTGTTTCTGATTTCAAAATGAATCTTAAATCATCTTAACATTAACTGTGATGTTATTGTTTGATGGTGTTTTTTCCATTAAGAAGGTTTCTATTTCTATTATACTTTGGTAAGATTTTCTAAGGGTTTTGTTTTTGTGTTTGTGTGCCTTTTTATCTTTTGTCCACTGATTTGGAAAATTGTATTTATGTTTTTCAATTTTTAATTTTTATTTCAATAGGTTTTTGGGGAACAGGTGGTGTTTTGTTACACGCACAAGTTCTTTAGCAGGGATTTCTGAGATTTTGATGCACCCATAACTCAAGCAGTGTAATATATATATATATATATATATATATATATATATATACACATAATTTTCTTTATCCACTCATTGATTGATGGGCATTTGGGCTGGGTCCATATTTTTGCAATCGTGAATTGTGCTGCTTTAAACGTGTGTGCAAGTATCTGCTGTTGAAGCAATAAGATACTTTTTATGTAATTTGTTTATTACATAGTAACTTCCCTTAATTTTGTAGTATAAAATAACTTTTTCTTTCTGATGTGAATTTAACTTTTAATATAATGATGGATTCAACTGGCTTATATTATGTTTACCATTTATTCCCTTGGATGGCAATGCTTGTAATTGTCTTTTCTTGTACTGTTCTTCCTCTTCCTGAAATTAAGAAAATACGAAGTGAAAAAGTGGAGAGTGTTCCTTTTCTATTCTCAGAAGAGTCTGTGTAGGATTGGAATTATTTCATCTTTGAATGTTTATTAGAGCACACTGGTGAAACTCTTTGGGATTTAAGCGTTTGTCGTAGAAAGAGGATTGCGTGTTGACTCAATTTCTATAATGTATAAATGTATATATAATTTTCTATTTCTTTTTAAATGTATTTTGATGTTGTATGTTTCTAGTGAATTGTGATATTTAAAAGTTTTAAAGTGTATTCGTAAACGTATCTCCATTTTTGTTTTTGTAAACATGGTAATATATATGTTTATGACATCATTATATTTCTGATATTGGTTGTTTTACCCCTTATTGCTTTTTATTTGTTTAATATATAGTCTCTCAAGTACATTGTTGATTTTATTAGTCGTTTATAGGAGGCAAGTGTTGGCTTTTTAATCTCTATTTTTTGTTCTCTGTGTCATTACTTTCTGTTCTTTTATTAATTATTTATTTCTTCCACTTTCTTTGGGTATGGCTTTTGAAGGTAACATATAGTTACATGTAATTTTATATAGCCTGCCACTTTCTTTTTATTTGAAGCAACTAATTCATTTCCATTAAGTGTAATTACTGATTTTTTTTATTGTTTAAACTATTTTTCTTTTTATTTGTCTTGTCAACACTCTTTCATTTTTATTTTCCTTCTTTTGGAGTTATTGGATATTTATAGTGGTTTAGTTTTACTGCATTGATATTTTATATTGTGAACTTTGTTTTCATTATTTAATGAAGAATTAGTATTAGAATTTATTAAGTATATTATTTAGAAAAGAAAAAGAAAACCTTCCAGGAAACCTTTAAATCAATACTTGTAATCTGTATCTATCTAGCTTTCTGTATACCTATGTATGAATATTTGAAAGAAATCATTTTAAAAATTAATGAACTACATTTGCAACAGAAGAATTAAATGAATTGGGCTGGGAAGATAAACTAATTAGTAAAACAAATAGAACAAACAGGAAATAAATAAATAATAAATTATACTAACAGATTCTAGCTTGTAGGAGGACTCGCACTTTTTAATTTCAAAACGTACTACAAGGCAATTATCAAGGCAGTGGTATGCTCACACAAGGATAGATATATAGATTTATAGAACAGAATCAAAAGTCCAGAAATAAAACCATATGTCTATGGTAAACTGATTTTTGACAAGGTGTCAAAACCATTCAGTGGTGGAAAGAATAGCTTTTACAACAAATGGTTCTGGAACAACTAGAGAGCCACAGACAGGCTAGAAACTCAGAGAAGAATTTATGTTACAATTAGAGTCCAATGGCAGTCTGTGGGCAGAATTTTTTTTTTTTTTTTGAGGGGGAGATTAGTTTTCTTCTATTAATACCTTCAACTGATTGGATGAGGCCCTCCCACATTATGGAGGGTAATCAGCTTTACTCAGAGTCTGCTGATTTAAACGTTAATCTCATCTTAAAAATTAACTTCACAGAAACACCTAGAATGATATTTGACCAACTATATGGGTACTGTGGCCCAGCCAAGTCGATAATTACAAGTAGGAAGTCAAAACTGGCAAAAAACTTTTGAGGAAGATATGAAGAATTTAAGAATAATTATGAAGGAAAAAAACTATTCAACCTAATATAAATATTTAAATAGTCATAGTAATGAAAACCACGTGGTATTGGCAGAAAAAAGGTGCAGACAGAGAACTGAACTGAACATGGAGCCCAGAAAATTATGTAGATTGGATAGATTTAAGAAAAATATTGTTGTGAAATTACAAACTTGTAGAGAAAGGATGAACCCTTTAATAAATGATGTTGAGAGCATAGGAAAGCCATATGAACAAAGACGAATCAGAACCTACTATAAAGCACACAAAATCTTTCCAGATTGAAAGAAAATGTAAATATTAAGGGTAAAATATTAACATTTTAGAAGAAAATATGAAAATAGCTTTACAACATTAGGTTAGAGAAGGTTTTCTTAAACACAACATTAAAAACCACAAACAGTAAAGAAAAACATGAATAGATTGTGTTTGAAAAAAAAAAACTTCCGCAATGGAGTAGACAAATGAGCAACAAACCCCATAAAAAAAAAAGTTTAATGGGCCAAGAACCTTAGAAAATTCAACCTCTCTATCATCAAAGAAATTGTTTCGCATGCACACTAGAAACTATGCACATTGGAATCTTAATGTAGCATTGTTTATATTGTTTTTCCTATTTTATTTTTTCTCTTTCAATAACTTTGATATAGCATTATTTATCATAAAAAAGTAGACATTACTTAAATGGCCATCTTAAAGGAATTTGAGAAATAAATTATGGCACATTCTCAAAAATGATATTATTCAGTTGCTAAATTGAATTAAATATTTGTGTGTGCGATACCATGGGTGGATTATAATATAATGTGTCTTTTAAAAAATCAGTCTCAAAAAGTATATAAGTTTAAAAAGTATATACACTGAAGGTGTGTGTGTTTTATTTTAGAATACATTTGTGTTAAGTATGGTAACATGAACACAGATGATTCACACAACTTCAGGATAGTGGTCGTCTCTTTGGTGATTGGGAATGATCTGAAGTAACATTCAGAAATAACATCTTTGGAAATACAGTCAGCCTCCAAGTAAATATATATATTTAGAATTTACCATTTAAAATCAACATTTTTATCTCTAAGTTTATTAAGATTTATTGCAAGTAAGATCTAATAGGTTGTACAGTATAGCAAACTTTCCAGAGTTTGCATGGTGAGGGATAGATGTCAGGTGATTGTTCCCTTAAAGACACTAAAGCTATTAGAGACTGGAGTCTCCAGCACAAGGATTTTGTTGACATATGAATAAATTTTTTTGAAGAGCTAACTATTTGTAGTTGTGGCAGTATAATTTATTGAAACGTTAATTTGTGTTTGTTTTCTCCAGTGACTCTACTACCACTACTTCAAGATGATAGTCAACATTTGTTCCTATTTACTTCAGGGGAGATTTGTGTTACCGTAAAAAGTTGCTACTTTCTGGGATTAAAAGATTTTCCTCTGTATTTGAAATGCTTTGAAAGCTACAAGATTTCCTAGATACAGAAGGGAAGAAGGGAAAAATAGGTAACCCTTTGAGATCATCCAAAGGAAGAAGGACAACTGTCCTTGAGGCTGTAAAGAGGTGGAATATCTTTATATAGCAGAAAACTTAGCAGTTCACTGTGGCAATAGGTAGATACGGCATATCTCCAGAGAGACAGCGGCATTTTAGTAAGAATACTTATGCAGGGCATGCAGGTAAAATGGGCCCAGACACGTACTTTCCTGTGGTCCAAGTTTATCAGTGAAGCAGTAGAGTCAGCATATTTAAATTGACCATGAAAGTTCAACAGAGATGAAATCTGTGCTTAAGGACTGGGTACAGAGCCTCTACCATGTTTTCTAGGGCTACTTTAAGCCTCCAGAATGTGCACGCGACTTGAGAAAAAAGATAGATTTCAAAATTATGACAAACAAATGTAGAATTTATTCTTAGCACGATGGGATGGGGGTTTACCATGTTGGTACTCTCAGTAAACTAAGATGAACTTTAAATGTTTGGGTAAATGCATTTGGGCCAAACACATTTACCCAAACATTTAAGATTTATCTAAGTTTACCGAGAGTACCAACATGGTTCTGTAGAATTGAAATCTAATGCAGAAAGGGATCATATAAATCACTGAATCCAGTCTACTATTTTGTAAATAAGAAACCCGAAATTCATCAAATGTGGGCAACTTGCCCACATTTAATATTCTAGAGCTGAGATCGCACCATTGCACTCCAGCCTGGGCAACAGAGCGAGACTCTGTCTCAAAAATAAAAATATTCTAGTATCCTAAGCATTAATGTTCTAGTATTCTAAGCTGAGATCCAAAGTCAGGTCTCTTGGTTGCAGGACTAGTTGATTATCCCCAATATATTGTTCTCTTTTTTTTTCTTTTTTCATTTTCTTTTTTTTTTTTTTTTTTTTTTTTTTTTTGAGATGGAGTCTAGCTCTGTCACCCAGGCTGGAGTGCAGTGGCACGATCTGGGCTCACTGCAAGCTCCGCCTCCCGGGTTCACGCCATTCTCCTGCCTCAGCCTCCCGAGTAGCTGGGACTACAGGCGCCCGCCACCACGCTTGTCTAATTTTTTGTATTTTTAGTAGAGACGGGGTTTCACCGTGGTCTCAATCTCCTGACCTCGTGATCTGCCCACCTCGGCCTCCCAAAGTGCTGGAATTACAGGCGTGAGCCACTGCGCCCGGCCATATTGTTCCCTTTAAATAGACATAATCGAAAAGAGCATGATACTTCTAGTCTCTGTAGGACAGTATTCCAACAAAAGATTTTTTTGTTTCTTTGAATCTAAGATAGTTGAAGACTACACACACACACACACACACACACACACACACACACACACCACTCAGTCAATTTTGTGTCTTGAATTATTAACCCATTGATATTTTGGTGTTTTCTTCAGGGACCTGACGCATCTTAAGTTTTATGCATGTGCGCACGTGCATACACACACACACACACACACACACACACACACACACAGTGTATTTCAGATGAATTATCTAAATGTTCTTGAAAATTTGTTAGTTCTTGAAAACTTATTTATTAGTTGGTGATTTGTTCATCTCTACTTCTATCACTTTAAGCCGCTAGAATCCCTTACATGAACTATTAAAATGGACTTCTAACTGTTCTTGAATTCTTGTTGGTTTCTAGGAAATTCCCCATAAGTAATCTACAAAAAACATAAATTCAATCATATATCTCTCATGCTTAAGTTTTGCACTTCAACACTCCATAATGTTTTCCTATTATTATTGAATGAAAATCACACTCAATGGATTACAGGGCCTACATGATATAGCATCTCCCAAATACTCCACTCACAGTTTGTGCAACTTTCCTCCTATTTATTCCACTCTAGCCATATTTATTTTCTGTCAACTTCTGGAACATGAATACTCTAACCTCATTCCCATGTTAGGGCCTTTGTGGTTGCTATTTCTCCTGGCTGGATTGTTCTTCATATAGATTTCCATATGGCTGGCTCTTACTTACTCAGCTTCAACCAAAAGATATACTCTTGGGAGAGGTCTTTCTTAATCATATTATCTGTAATGTAACTATTCCCTTACTGTGACTCGTGCCACTCTGTACTGCATAACGTGTTGTATTATTGCTTGTGACTCATTACTACCTGAAACTTTTGTTTATTTTACTCATTTATTCTCCTTTTTCCCAAACTAGACAGTACATATTAAATTCCATGAGAACAGAGATCTCGTCTATATTGTTCATTGTTCTATTCTTAATACCCCCAAAAAACCACCATTCGTGACTGTATATTTGTGCACAACACAATTTAAAGGTCACCACTGACATAGATGGTGACACAAGAGTGAACATAAACCTTGACTATGACTTGAACGCATGTTCAATTATTTTTGAGTGCTGCTTAGAACAGTGCTCGACATGTAATAATTAGTTAAAAGCAATTCTGAATGTTTTAATTCATTCTGGGGGTCTGTAGTAGAGTGATTTAGACCAAGTTTAAGTCTGACCTAGTGATCTGCACTAGAGCAGACTATGAAGATTCATGGTAAGGGAAGCTGCTTCTGCCAGCTATTTCTTTTTCCCCTTTCCATAATTTAAATAGTCTCCACAAGGATGTTACACGGCAGGAATTTTTTAAAGCAATATAATAATTTGCATAATTTTATTAGTAAGATAAGCTCTACCTCTATCGTTAAAGAAAACTGGCAGAGTTTCTTTTTTTCCAGTTGGACTCACAGGTCTCAGAGCACATACTGGCCCTTTATGAATTGCTATTTCCCAGCAGGACTACCCCTGAGGTTTAATTTAACCAGCTTTCGCACCTATGAATATGGACGGGATAGCAAGTGTGGTCAACATCCTCAGCATCCAATAGCTAGGCATAAGCACCGGGCACTGCACTGTACATAACCACAATGCTCTCACAACGGGAAATGTATTTCTTTTTCCATGTGGCTTTCTAAGCTAGTGGTTTGCAGCTCTGTTGGAAATATCACTCTTCTTGCAATGGGTTAACACCTACATTGCTAACATATAATAGAAAGGTTTTAAAGGTCATAGTAGATTACTTTTCTGTCAAACAGCCTCAACTATGGATGAAGGATTAAAACAACTCTCCTTTATTCTCTTATAGGGGCCACTGATCTGACTCTGGCCATATATATACAGTGTCATTCTAGAACTCCATCCTTTTTCCCTCTGGTTCATTTAGTCAATCTCTTGCATTTATATTTTCCCCTGGTTCTACTTTACACTGCTTACTTCTTTCTTCATCTTTTCTTATTACTTTTATAAGAATTTAGTTGAACTGAGACATTCAATAGACTTTGAAAATATGGAGTTTCAACACAAACATAAAAATACATTACTCACAGTTCAAATCTTGCTTTTTTCATTTCTGAAGAAGGAAAATTTGATAGGAAAAATATTTGCCCTTTAAAATCCCCACTCTTTTTGATCTGGGTTGCAAAATATAAGAGTAAATGTTACTTTTGGAAGCAAGGGTGCATTCACATGTTGATCTCTTAAAATTTCATCTTATTGTGGCCTACGAAAAAGAAGATATATACTCTGTAGGAATGTTTGCTTCATGCTATCTGAAACTTGCCTTGGAGCTCTTCCAAAGGAGGTGGCCAGATAGATGATTTTTTTTTTGTTTGCTTGTTTTAACATGTGAATGAAAGATGCACCACTGGCAAAATTCTCCCCCAGAGATATTTCAAGGATGAAAAGAGGAGCAAACTGTCAAACAGAATTTATCATCTAGAGGTTTTAGGAGCATATACTCTAACTGCAGATGCTGGATGAATTATTACATATTTTGGAAAATCTAGACGTTATTCCTCCATTTTTTAAAAAGGATATAGCAACATCTTGTTGCTTCAAATTTAGCTTTATGAGGTACAGCATAAAAATTAGTTATGTGAGTCAGATGAAAACTTTTTCCAACAAGCTATTATGAACATTTCAAACATATAGCAAAGTTTGAAATAATTTAATAGTGAACACTCATATACTTATCACTTACATGCTTATATTAACATTTTTTTCTGAATTTATTACATATTTACCTATCTATCCATTTCTCTGCCCTTCTATCAATCCATCTTATGTTTTAGATATATTTCAAAGTGAATTGAGGATTATCAGTACACTTTCTCCCAAATACTGTTGTATTATTGAGTTTTATGAGCTTTTAAAATATCCTGGATACAAATCCTTTGTCAAATATACGTGTTTCATGAATATTTTCTCCAGTTTGTGGCTTGCCTTTACATTTTTAATGGTACCTTTATAAAAGTAGACATTTACAATTCTGATAGTTTATCAATTATTGTTTTTTGGTTATTTAAATCAAATTTTTAAATGGTGTGATAACACATTTTTTTTTAATTAGAAACTGTAAATCATAGGCCAGGCACGGTGGCTCATGCCTACAATCCCAGCACTTTGGAAGGCAGAGGCAGGCGGATCACCTGAGGTTGGGAGTTTGAGACCAGCCTGACCAACATGGAGAAACCCCGTCTCTACTAAAAAAAAAAAAATACAAAATTAGCCAGGCATGGCGGTGTATGCTTGTAATCTCAGCTATTAGGGAGGCTAAGGCAGGAGAATCGCTTGAACCCGGGAGGTGGAGGTTGTGTTGAGCCGAGATCGCACCACTGCACTCCAGCGTGGGCAACAGGAGCAAAACTTCGTTTCAAAATAAAAAATAAAAAAATAAGAAAGAAAGAAAGAAACTGTAAATCATGAGTAAGTTCTCATGTAACCAAACAACCCCTGTTCCCCAATAATCTAGGGGGAAAAAAAGTAACCAGGAGCTCTAGTGACATCTCAGAGTGAAGGGCTTGGTTGGGTTGAGGCCGACCAGCAGTTCACTAGACTGATGCCCTCTCACCATGGCAGAGCCTGTGGAGTGAGGATATGGCTGATGCTGGGGAGACTGTCAGTGCTAATTAGATATTATAGAATTATAGAGCTCTCATTTACATGGTTCCTGCTGCTGCCCAAAACCCCCGGGGTCCTTCCAAAAAAAAAAAAAAACCTGTAAATCAGATAGTATGTGTATGTGATTTTGCATATCATATATAATTTGACAGTCTGGTAGCTTGTGAACATTTTTGATTTGTGTGGTTACTGCATGTATGAATTTATTTAAGATGTAATATATTTATGGGAACCAATAGAGATTTAAATTATCAGGCTTTCTTATATACCCGCACCCTTTCCCTCTGCAATCTTCTGAGGAAAAGAGGTATCCACTTACTTAAGTAGCACAGAGCCTTTTTGGGGGACGGGCTATGGGTAAGAGAGAGAGAGGCTGATATAAAGAATGGCCCAGGCTATTCTCAATGAGAAATGATGAAAGAGGGCAGATGAATAAGAAGAATGGGGAACAACAAAGGGCAAGTGAGTACATTAAAGAGGAGTTAAAAGTAAAGAGCAGCAATTAGCACGAATGGGACTTTGGGGATATATAAAAAGAATATTTTGGAAGCCTAGCTGTGTGCTGTGTGATGCCTCCCCCCAAAAGACAAAATCCGCACTGATCTTCAGTGCTTTCTGGAGTTTGTTTCTGCATGCATTATCATACTGAGGTTGTGATATATTCGACACTCTGAAATTTCATGTTGTTTATTTACAACATTTTGACATGTATGTGTCTTACTGACATATCTCAGGCAGTTTCTATCTCTTCTCATCACATCCAGTCATAATAATATTATCAATATAATGAACTACCATAATATTTTCGTGACATCCAGGTGATTAATCTCCCCAGGGACTATAGTGCTATAGAGATGAGGAGAGTTGGCACAGCCCGTGAGAAAGCCAAACAAAGTTTAAGTGTACTTCTATCTTTGTCAGGTTAACATAAACTACCTCTCATCATGATTACTAATTGATATGGAGACAAAGAGCATTTTCCAGGTCAATAGCTGTATAGCAGCAGCTAGCACTGTCTTAAGTTGCCCCCCAAAATAAAAAATGCCTCCAAAAAACATAAAACCCAATAGTTTTTTTTTTTAGAAAAGCCACCTCATTACTTTATGATCATCATTTCATTGTCCTTAATCCATTTAACTTTCTTTATAAGCCAAGCAGATTACTTAAATGGGCCAGGCAACAGAGCTTACCATCTGCATGGTTATTTTAGTCTCTGCAAATTCCCCAGAGAGGTGGTGTTACATTTTAAAATAATATGTATTATTTTGAATTGGATGGGCAGTTACAGCGGCTCCCACTTGGCCCTATCTTTATTTATTGTGGTAAAATATACATTACATAAAATTTACTATTTAACTACTTTTAGATATACAGTTTACTGGCACTAAGTACATTCACGATGTTGAGCAATCATCACTGCAGTCCATCCCCAGGCTTTTTTTTATCTTCTCCGACTGAAATTCCATACCCATTAAACAATACACTGTATTCTCCCCATCCCAAGATCCTGGCAGCCACCATTCTACTTCGTGTCTCTATGA
Source organism: Homo sapiens (assembly GCF_000001405.40). Taxonomy (NCBI): domain Eukaryota; kingdom Metazoa; phylum Chordata; class Mammalia; order Primates; family Hominidae; genus Homo; species Homo sapiens. The sequence continues at coordinate 34,308,847 of NC_000023.11, read as the reverse complement.
ATTTGACTTCTCTAGACACTTCCTGTAAGTGGGATCCTACAATACCTGTCCTATTGTCTCTGGCTTATTTCATTTAACATAATGTCTTTAAGGTTTATCCATGCCATAGCATGTGTCAGAATGTTCTTCCTTTTTAAGGCTGAATCATACTCCATTGTATGCATATACCACATTTTGTTGATGCATTAATCTGTTGATGGACTTTTGTGTCATTTTCACCTTTTTGGTATTGTGAATAATGAAGCTGTGAATATGGATGTCTATAAATACCTGTCAAGAGTCCTTCCTTTCAATTATTTTGGGTACATGCCCTGGAAAGGAATTTTTAGATCATATGGTAATTCTGTCTTTCATTTTTTTTGAGGAAGTTTCCGAATGTTTTACACAAAGGTTGTACCATTTTACATTCCTGCTAGTAATGCACAAGAGTTACAATGTTTCCACATGCTCATCACTACTTGTTATTTTTATTATTGTATTCTGTTTCTTTTTTAAATCATCGACATTCTAATTGATGTGAAGTGATGGCCCTTTCCATCTTAATAGCTCTTGCTATGGATGAGAATTTTGTTTTCTTTTTTCTAAGTATGTCTCCAACAATGCATTCAGGCATGGGGAAATATAGTGTAGCTTACTGAATCCACAGACGTTATAGTGAGGTGAATTTATATCAAGTCTCCAATTATCATATGACCTCCATAAACCCCACTATGACCTGAAGATCACAGTGATGTTTTTGAACCTCAGATATGTGAAATTAGCTTAATAATCTCTGAAAAATTCTGAGTTTCCCCCTTTTCTTGTTAAACAATCCCCCTAGAAAATTGTTACAAACCACTTTGAGGAGGACTTGGAGAAAAATTCACATTATATGCTCTATTTTATTTTATTCATTTTTACTTTTGAGACAGAGTCTCGCTCTGTCACCCAGGCTGGATTGCAGTGGCACAATCTCGGCTCACTGCAACCTCTGCCTCCCGAGTTCAAGCAATTCCCTGCCTCAGCCTCCTGAGTAGCTGAGATTACAGGCGCCTACCACCATGCCCGGCTAATTTTTGTATTTTTAGTAGAGATGGGGTTTCACCATCTTGGCCAGGCTGGTCTTGAACTCCTGACCTCATGATCTGCCCGCCTCGGCCTCCCAAAGTGCTGGGATTACAGGTGTGAGCCATCGCGCCCAGCCAGAGCGAAAGTTTAATAAGTGAAAGAAGAAAGCTCTCCACAGCGGAGAGGGGGCCTGAAAGAGGGTTGTCGTTTTTACAGTTGAATCCAAAAGCTTGTATGAGAAACTCCCCTCATCTTTGTAGCTGTTTGTGTAACTTCCATTATCTGTGTAGCTGTCTGTAACTCTCTTTATCTGTGCAGCTGCGGGCATCTCTTAGGCAAGTACAAAATGCAGCTTCTCTTGTTTATGCAACTGTGTGTTTTAGGTAAGCCCCCACCCCCCTGTGCAAGTTCCCATGGAGCCCACCATGTACATGCCTGAAAAAGGGAGGAAACTTTTTCCTGGGATCCCACTGATTACACAAAGAACAGAGACGTTTCTATGTTGGGCCTTGCTCCCTTATTAGTGCAACTGTAACTTGATTTTTCCCCAGGCTGCTCTATCTGTGCCTGTAGCTTTGATTTTTCTGGGTGTTTTTCTGTTTGAAGGAGTTTTACCAAGGACCCATCCCAACTGTCTGCTTGACAGATTTCTTTTTCTTTCTCCTCTCTGAATAGTTACAGGCTGGGAAAAAATAAGTGCTAATGTGAGTGGGTCTTGAGAAAAGTAGACACTCTTTGAAAATTAAGTACTCCAGAAAAGGTCTTTAGAAGTATGTTTAGCAAAAGACATTGCTGAATTTCCTCAGACTGGGGTTGGGAGATGAAGGTTTGTTTTCACTGTCAAGGAAACGTCAGGAAGTTTTAAGGTAAAAGTTTTCATATTAATCTTAGTCTGCCTGCCTGTCCTTACCTTAAATCTTTAATACTGAATTTTTTCTTGATCGATGTCCTGATGTTAATCTATGAGACTCAATACAAAGATGGGCATTGAGCTTTTATTTTAATTCTGCAACCCACAAATTTAGATTTGAAGCTTGATCCTCAGCCATGTCTGCTCTATGGCTACAAAACCTGAGAAACATTTAAGTCCCTCATAGGGGCTGTCTATGTCTCTTCCCATGCGTTGATCTGAGAGGTTTAACACTCAACTTATCATTTGCATCTTGTAAGCTCTCTGGTGTTGTCAGAAGCAGCTAATGTACCCCACAGTGCTTATAGATATTATTACCACAATGAACACAGTAGACACTTGACCTCCAAAAGGATTTTATTTGACTGGCAATTTATCCAAAACAAACACTGGTGGTAACTTAAATAATCATGCTTCCACTGGTTGGAAGAAGTGCTTGTTTTCTTTACATTGGTACTGAGGTCATTACTACATTCAAGCTCAAAGAGATAAACAACAATTCTGTAGTCTTATTTTGAAGGTTTGTTTCCTGGGACTAATCAATTAGAGTTCAGGAAGGACGGATGGTCTGCTTCAGGAAGTTTAGAAAGCACATTTTAATACAATAACCTTTTCTTTTCAAAGATTGGCAAAGCGAAAGAGTCAAAATGGGGATAAGGAGGCTACTCAGAGTTTGGCAAGAGGGAATTCCCTAAGCAAAATTGGAATGGGTGCTGGTGATTCTGGTAATATAGAGGGAGAAAATCTCTAACAGGAATTGTACCCATGAAGGAGACAAAGCCTCAGATGTAGATGTCTATGCCCCTCAAGGAAGGAGGGCAAGCCGGGCGTAGTGGCTCATGCCTGTAATCCAGTACTTTGAGAGGCCAAGGTGGGAGGATCGCTTGAGGCCATGAATTCAAGACCATCCTGGGCAACATAGTGAGACCCTGTCTCTACAAAAAGTGAAAACAAAACGAAACAAAACTATGATGGCATGCACCTGTAGTCCCAGTTACTTGGGAGGCTGAGGCAGGAGGATCACTTGAAACCAGGGAGTCAAGGCTGCAGTGAGCCATGATCACACCACTACACTCCAGCCTGGGCACAGAGTAAGATCCTATCTCAAAAAAAAAAAAATTAAAAAAGGAGGGCATTCTGTGTTCTCCTTTATTCCCTCCTTCCATTATCTCATCAGTGCTTCCCTTTGGTCAAACCTAATGGGAAGCTTATTGTCAAGGCATACTGGAAAATTCAATTTTGTGAGGCTATCCTCTACAATAAAAATCAGAGAAAAGGGATGGAGACATGGTCTTAAAACAAAAACAAACAAAAATTATACAGTTCCACCTCCCAAATCATTAACACAAGCGTGCCCTTGAAACAAACTTCTCACATTCCAGTTTAGTTGTTCAAATCGCAGCTGTACCATGATTGTACTTTGAAACAAGTCTATTTTCTTCTTTATTTTCTCCTAATATTGCCTTTACATCCTTCCTTATTATTTTAGATTCCAATGCCTATTATTTCTGATTGTATTCTAAACTCCCTTGCTCTAGTGTCTTTTCATTGTATCCAAACATGGATAAACCCGAAACCACTGCTTTCACTTTTTTTGACCTCTACCTTTAAAAGGCTACCTGAGAAAATTACATAAAGGTTTAGATTGTTTCCTTTATAAATTCATGATCAGTGACATCAAAGATCCTTCAATATTGACCTTTAATTCTGCTTCGTTTATCAGGAACAGTCATTACATTCTTTACAATGTGTTTTTCTATCATTCCACACTATCTTTAACTGTCTATATTCCCACCATTTGCTGTACTATCAGGAGATAATCTCTTCTAATTCACAGAAAAGAAAATAAAAGACATTAGAGAGGAAATTTTCTGTTAGTGAACATAATGCATTTACCAGCTCTGCTCCCATCTTTATCCCCTTTGGTCATTTAATAGAACAAAAGCCCTGTTTATACTAAAGGCAATTTCTTCAATCCTGCTTTGGATTACATCTACTTCTACCTTCTCAGAATCCTTATATTATTTAATATATTTTTCTCACCCTTCCATTAGCATTAAAACATCTTCCAAATTAGGGAAAAAACGGTTAAAAAGAAGAATAAAACAAAGAAGAAATGCAAAATCAAACTCACCATTTTTCCACACATCCTCTGCTTTGATTATCTTTCCCCTCTCCTCTTTTTCAAAACCATAATTTTTCAATTCCTAAGAAATGTTTTTTTCTGTATTCAGTATCTTCACTTCATCACCTACTCATTCTTTAGTCTACTTCTAACAGAATCCAGCCTTTACCACTCCAATAAAAAACAGTTTATTACTAATTTCCAAGTTCATAGAAGCAATGGGTAGATATTATCTTCTTTTTTTTTTTTTTTTTTTTTTTTTTTTTTCCTGAGATGGAGTCTTGCTCTGTTGCCAGGCTGGAGTACAGTGGCGCAATCTCGGCTCACTGCAACCTCCACCTCCCGGGTTCAAGCAATTCTCCTGCTTCAGCCTCCCGAGTAGCTGGGACTACAGGCACGTGCCACCACGCCCAGCTTAATTTTTTGTATTTTTGGTAGAGACAGGGTTTTACCATGTTGGCAAGGATGGTCTCGATCTCCTATTCTTGTTGGCTTGGGCCTTGGGGCTCTATGTCCTCAATAAACTAAAAGATACAATCTTATAGTTACTTGATCTGTAAGTAGAATTTGCTTCCCTCTTTTAAGTTTAATTTTCCTTGGGCTAAGACTCTCCTGGTTTTCGCTTATCTCTGTGGTTGCTCAATCTCCATCTCTTTTGCAGATACATCTTCTTTCCAAACATTAAGTGTTGAAATTTTTCAAAATTCAATTCTAGACTATTATATTCTCTCACTTTAGTAGCATAAAATATGTGGGTTTCTATAAAATTATCAAGATATTTTATGGAAATATAAATTCTTTCCACAGCTTTAATTTCCACCCCCATGAAAATTGGACATACATGTACAATAAGTCCTCTTTTAACATTGTGGATAGATTTTTGAAAACTCTGACTTTAAGCAAAACTATGCATAATGAAACCAATTTTTCCATAGGCTAGTAGATATAAATAAGAGATAAGTTCTAATGGACTATTTTTGGTAACAAAACCATCACCAAACTTATAAATAAAAAACAAAAACACTTCTAATATTAAACATTGAAATAAATGTGAGCTACACATACATTTAAGTTAAATTGATAAAATCAAGTAAGATAGTTAGTGATCCACTTTTTTTTTTTTTTTTTTTTTGGTGAATCAGTGAATGATGGCAGTCACAGCAGTGATGGGTTAAATTATGAAATAAATGTTTGCAAAGTGAAAATTTTCAGGAGTACCCCCTTGTACCATAAAGTTCAAAAACAAATAATAGGAAATATAGCATGCTCCCTGAGCACTTTTGGCATGATAATAAATGTGCATTTGTAGGATTGTCATGTACTTAACAAATTTTTACTTGACAATAATTTGTACTCATTCATTCATTCATTCATTCATTTTCCATCCTGCTTATTTCATTTCAGAATGGTGGGTGATGGGAACCTATCCCAGCATCTCAGGGTTCCAGGCAAAAACCAGCCCTGGCAGGGAAGCCATCCAATCGTAGGTCACACTCACTCACACACTCATACTCACTCAAACTGGAACCATGTAGACATGCCAATTCAGCTAATGTGCACAGCTTTGGGATGTGGGAAGCAACCAGAGTATGAGGCCAAAACCCACACAGACATGGGGAAAATGTGCAAACTCCACGTAGACTGTGGCCTCAGGTGGGAGTTAATTTTTTTTTCTCATCAACTTTATGACTAAATGATGTTAAATTAAACTTCGTTATTTGAGGACCTGCTGTATCCAAGACCTCAGTTTTAAATTCTGTATATCCAGTACCTATTTAACATCTCAACCTGTTTATTTTAAATAAACATAAAACTCAACATATGCATGCTCTCCCGCAACCTCTAATCTGTCCTGCTCCATCTTTGTTTGTCTTAGTGTATGGTGGCACCATTCATTCAGTTATATAAACCAGAAGTCTAGCCATTAACTTTGACTTCACCCTCTCTCATCATCCACTATATCCTATCAATTGCCAATCCTATCCAATTTACCTCTTAGATACTTCTTTATTCACTCTTATCTGTCATTCTAATTGGTAAATTAATGCATGAATCTAAATTTCCCCACTTGCTCTGCATGGTGCCTATAATTTTTGTGGCTGAAAGATTTATAAAAAATATTTGTGTTTGTCTTTCCTGTATTTTTCCCTTCTCTTCCTCCATTCTCCCCTCTCCATTTCCAGCATGGATTCAAGACTCCCTAAAAGTCTGTGCCTTAAGAAATGTTCTGCTGGAACATGTGTTGAGGTGTCAAGAAAGTGGCTAAAAGGCAATTGGAGGGCCAAAGATCATAGAATACAACACGCAGTGCTTGACACCACCTTTCTGCTGGATAGGGCCCTGGGGCTGTGTCCAGTTGTTACAAGGAAATAACTGAGGAGTGATATAAGGAAGCCATGTAGTAAGCATTATGTATTTGTCTTGTTAAATATTTCAGGGTCGGCTAGGCGCGGTGGCTCACGCCTGTAATCCCAGCACTTTGGGAGGCTGAGGCGGGCGGATCACGAGGTCAAGAGATCGAGACCATCCTGGCTAACACGGTGAAACCCCATCTCTATTAAAAATACAAAAAAAAAGAGCCGGGCATGGTGGCGAGCACCTGTAGTCCCAGCTACTCGGGAGGCTGAGGCAGGAGAATGGCATGAACCCGGGAGGTGGAGTTTGCAGTGAGCCGAGATCGTGCCACTGCACTCCAGCCTGGGTGACAGAGCCAGACTCCGTCTCAAAAAATAAATAAATAAATAAATAAATAAATAAAATTTAAAAATTAAAAAAATAAATATTTCAGGGTCTCAAACACTGCACTAAAACATTTAGCAATGGAATATAAAGTCACAGTGAGAAACAGTGTGAAATGGTCTCAGGAGACTGGAGAGACCTCCATAACAAATTCATGTTACAGGACTTTTATACAACTCTGGTTGTATGATGTACTCCAAATAGTGACTGAGGCTGACTTCTCCATCTGCTCATTTGTTTAAAAGCTGACATTCATTTAATCAAATAAAGAATCACTAGGTTTAAAGTTGCAACTCATAACTGCTTACTTTGTGAAAAATAGTTATAGCTAAGTCATGGCAGCTGTCATAAATATATGGAAAACACTTTGCCTGTATATTTTTCACTAACTGGAATAATACTCTTTCAACAAAAAAACTGAAAAGAACGAACTAGGGAACAAAACATTTTTATCCTTCAAGACATTCTGTTTAGAAAGATCTTTGTAAGCTGTCATCTTTTGTCTCTGGTAGAAAGGAAAATACAAATAATCTGGAAATATAGAGATGGGTTTCTGTACCTAAAACCACAGATTTTGTTTCCAATAAAGTGAAAAATATTATATCATATAGTTTATTTTTTATTATATAGAGCTAATTGCCCTTGTGTTCTTAGTGGGGAAGAAAAAAAGAACCCCAGTATAGATAGATTTTCCATGATGAAAAGGGAATCATGACCATCTGTATTTCCAAAGGGAAAGTGAAATTCCAAATATTCTGTGCCATAAAATGTTAAATTGAACATTTTAAAATAGTCTCTCAATATTTTGGACCCAATGCTTTGAAACTTTAAAATTAAGTATGATATATACATAATTTCCACACCTTTAAAATGAGTTGTTAAATTGTTAAGACCTTTCTTCAAAATTAAGACTTGCTAGTCAATCCTAAAAATAGCCTCCAGAGGGCGACCAAGTTGCATCATGGCAAACAAGCACATCAAACTGTAGCACTGCCTCCAACAACAGCATGGATTTAGTTAACATATGAAAAGCCAATAATAATGGTTAATCCTTGAAAAAAAAATATACTTTCACCTGAAGTGTGAATAGCTCTGCAAAAATTGAGTGTTTGTGAGGAAACCACCTGTAATTTGATGCATTAGCAGAGCAAAGGCCTTTGATCAGAAAAACTTGTCATCATTTCATGCAAGTTCCAATCAATTTCTCTGCTCATTGAAGTCTACTTATCCCAAGCACCTTGTTGTAGCAAACAGAGTATAGATCTTGAAGTTCGGTAGACTTAGATTCAAAGGCAGCTCTGCAATTGGTTGTTACCTTGTAAACAAAGTTTAATCTGAAGATAGGGTAGATAATATCTTCTTCATGCTTCATGGTTGTTTGAGAATTACATGAGATAAATATATGAAAACATTGACCCACAATGTGGGCAAACATCACCTCATTCTTGTTTATTTCGTCCCTATCTTTTTTTTTTTCTCCTTTACCTAGAGAAAGATAAAAATAGGATCAAATTATGTTATTCACTTCAAGGTTTTAGTGATACATATTACTTTCCCATTATTTGTCTTCAAAATATGTTTTTAAAAACCACATGGAAACAAAGTAGTGGTTACATTTAAATAATTAATATTTCTCCATTCTCTCAGACAGAAATACATCTAATAAATGTTGTTGGAGGTTTGCTAGTCCTCGACTGGTTAATGACTATTATCAATCTAGTAATTCGAATTGGTCATCCATTCAATTGGCTTTCCCCTTATACCAATGGGTTATTATTTCCACTTATTTCATTTATATTAAAGCCACATCCCTCTGAGAAAAATAGTTGAGTTTACCTTGTATTTGCCCTTTCTTATTCTTCCTGACCTATATCTAACCAGCAGACAATTTCTGTTGATTATTTTTACACATTTTCTCTGCTACACCTTTAGATTATGACCTTATATGACCTTCTACTGGTCTCCTTAATTTTATTCACTGATCAAGATGTCCTTAATGTTCTCCTCAGCTTGACTAAATTTTAGACAGGTTTCTTCTTGACTGTAGGTCCCTGACCTTTCTTTTCTTAAGGCATTTACTTTAGAAAAAGTACAATTGTAAATTCTTTGCCCCTCTGAGATATAAATCCCCCAGCGTCTTCTGACTTTTATAACCCAGGAATGTCTTTCTCAAGGACCTGGAAGCCATCCCTTTGAAATGTAAACATCAAGAAAGATAGCACCCCTATTTTCAGTCTCTGTGGGAGGGTAGGAGCCTAACTTAGATAAGCATCAATTAGCACACACAGATGGCCTAATCACATTGACCAACTTCCTCCCTGAGGTCCTCCAGTTCTTTTCCACTAGCTATCTTTGGCACTTAACATCTCTCCCATTTTTCTACATCAGCAGAGTTGAGTGCAATCTCTCTTCCTTTTGTAATCATCTTGACTCCTGTTGCAATATTCTTCCTTGCCCGTTTACTCAATTTGGTGCAGTTTTTCTTTGACATCATTCCTTCACCAAACCCATACTGCTGAATTTCAGATTACTCTTTCCAAACTTTGAATCACTCTGTATTTCCTGTTGCATAAACCCCACCATTCAAACTCATCCACCATCTTGTACCTTCAAAACTCATTCTCAGAATTCCACTTCCTGAGTTCCCTACTCCAATAAAACTAGTCCATTAGCTTTGTAAATGTGGCTACTATTTCCTCACTTTGAAATCTTTGCTTGTGTCCTTTCTATTAAATATATTTTGAAATTTTATTTTATTGTACCTGCTCATAGATAAAAATAAAATAGAAATCACATCAAGTCTCTACAAATGGGAGTTTGATAGTGGAAATTAGTAGCACCAGTGATGAAATTGCTGAGAAGTAAAGAAGGGCTAGCAGGATAATGGAGGGATTAGCAAGAACAGGAATCTACTTCAATCAACTCCTATACTGGACAGTTAAGGAGAAGATTGTGAGGGAGCCCAGGGCCAGATAACCTGGTCAATACTGGACCATACGTGTTTTGTCTCACACATAGTAGAGCCAGGGAGGTTACACAGTGGCTGCTGGAAGAGGTAACCAAAGTAGAGAGACAATGGAGAGAAATCTCTTAGCTTCTTTCTAACCCGTCATATCCCATCAGTGTCTCTATTTGGCTGAATCTGGTAAAAAGTAAGCTGCATGTATGGGTCTGCTATCATGTGACACAAAATAGAGACAAGAAAGAACAATGAATGAATCTAAGACAAACAGACTGGAACCAGTACATTTGCTTGAATGTTGTACAATAGCCTATTTTCAAACTATGGTCTTTTTATTTATATTCCCTATATTCTTGACCAATTGTTTTATTCCCCTAAGTTCAAATTTCCTCATCTTTGAAAATAGCATAATGATAGTTCCTAGCTCATCGGGTTGTTTTGAATATTAAATGAAATAAGACAGATAAAGGGTTAACATTGAAATTATTATATAGGACATGCTCCAAAAATGAACTTCATCATGATTGCTTTGTTGTTATTATTATTAAAATTGCTGTTGTTATTGCTATTTTAATCACCTCTTCAATTTTCTGCCAAGTAGAATTTTATTTCAGTGTCCAGTTTAAATGCTGTCTGCTCCTTTTAACTTCTACAATCATTTTCTCCAAAAAGGATTTGTTCCTACTCTAAATTCCTATACTATACATTATGTGCTTCATTTATTTGACATTCATCTGTGGGTTTATTTGACTATACGCTTTCCATTATAACCAAACTTTAAAATTCTAGAGCATAAGGACTATTGTTTATGTATTTGTGTATCTCCCATAGGATTTAGTACAGTGCACTATCCAGAAAAAGCAATTATTGGAAATGTGTTGAGTGAAAAACTTAATCACTAAGTTTACTGTAACTCTACTGACATATGGACAAAGCTCATAACTATTTGGGCAATGCTGTGAAATTCTAGGCTTTATAATTTTTAGAATTTATTTACTTTCATATGGGATTTTGTTTTAAAAGATACTGTAAAAATAACTTGAAAAAAATTTAGCTTAAAGAGATTAATAAATGGTTTGCCATTTGTTGCATTTTTATACTTATTTAGAACTGCCTCTAGAACTCCCAGTATGTCAGCATGTGTAGCTACAGAGCTTGTTAGCAGAATACAGACACCTGCTATTTCTGGTACTTATAACATGAAAAAATATGATTATATTAATAACGCCGTGCATTTTATAGTGCCCTATCATTATTTCAGAGAGTTCAAACTTTCTCATGTAGTCATATAAAGTAGCAAGGGAATTCACATTATATATGCAATCCCAAAGGGCATTTTTGATCACTTTGAATTTTACCAACCATATTACTCAGGGTGGATTAATAAAAACATGTATAGGGGCATGGCCCTGAGATTGGCTTCGAGTAAGACAGAGACAAGGACATGCAGAGATGAAGATGAGCTTCACAAATGAAGAAACAAGGAATCTGGAATAGAGTTGTCTGAGGAGTAAAAATCAGCATAGAGAAGAGAAAAACTGCAATAGAGGAAAGGGAGACTGGAGTGAGAGTGGTATGAAGGCTCGTTTCACGTTCTTTCTCGCATCCATTTTCCTCTTCCTTTGGCTATTTCTCTCAGCTACTTTTTAAACCACATATCCCTAAGGGTGATCTTCAGTTGGGAATAGAAAAGGGTGGCTGCGTAATACAAATGTGCTATCATTCACTTCTGTCCTTAGTTACAACACTCTCACCCTCTCTGCACCTCCACTCATCAAACCAAAATGAAACAAGACTGGCAGTGGCGAAGGCAGGCCGAGCCTTGCCGGTGAGTTCTGAGGAGGAGGATCCCAGTGGGATGCGGAGTGAAGAGGGGGCTGTAAATGCCAGAGTGATTGGAAAATGTCAGTTCCTGTGGCTGCACCAAACTGGAGTGTCACCAGCATTACAACAAAACAAAATACAAAAATATATTGCCAGGGAGACTGTATGTCGGAGTTAGCTTTACTTCTTAACACCTTTATTAGTCTTCTGGAAGTTTTCCTGATGCAGTGAAAATACATTAAAATTGGGAACCACAGGTACATAATGATTGCAGCAGCTTAATTCAGTAGCATTGTTTCAGCCTTCACTCTTAGGCTTTACCATTTAATTTCTAGAAATGTGTTGAATTGCTTTTGCCATTTCTTAGATTTTTAAATTGAATATAGTGTAAGTTGGGACCTAGTCAAGCTCGTATTCCTGTCTCTAAAATCCAGTCATTTAATTCTAATTTTAGCTAGGCACCTTGTCCTTATTTCTCCAGGCAAATCAAGAAATCTCAATGTAATTTATTTTGAAATAATAAAAATAGGTGTTTATTATGGATAATAAACAGACAGGAAATTGTATGTGTATAATTATATATGCATATATGTGTGTGTGTGTGCGTGTGTGTGTGTGTGTGTGTGTGTGTGTGTGTGTGTATATATATATATATATATATATATATATAAATTCTTGTTTCTTACAACCCACCCATATAAAACCATTGTACAGTGAATCAGGCCAAAAGGAAATCAATATTCTAGTGATCTTCTAGAGAATACAGGGGAACCAAGCTGTAATAATATTTCCTTCCCACTATTCATATCTTGGGTCTATGGTGTAAAGCTAAAACAATAATAAACTACTTTTGCCAAAGCCACATACAGTAGATGAAAAATGACTTCTGTTAAAAAGATTCACTATACTCAGTGCAATTTGAACAGATGGCAAAGATCAAGTTTACCAACCCTCCTTTCCTCTGACTGATTTCTCCTGCTTCATCCCTGTTAAAGGCATGAATCTTCTGTTATATTCCAGTAGTACTAAGTAATTTAAAAGTTTAGATGGCAGAGAGAGCCACTTTATTTCAGGCAGTGAAACATTTCTTTAACTGAATTTCAAAATTCACAAGAGTTATGTATTAGTCTGTTCTCATGGCTGCTATAAAGAAATACCTGAGACTGGGTAATTTATAAAGGAAAGAGGTTTAATTGACTCACAGTTCTACAGGGCTGGGGAGGCCTCAGGAAACTTACAATCATGGCAGAAGGGGAAGAAAACACATTCTTCTTCACATGGTAGCAGCAAGGAGAAGTGCTGAGTAAAAAGAGAAAAGCCCTTTATGAAATCACCAGATCTCATGAGAACTCACTCACTATCATGAGAACAGCATTGAAATAACCACCCCCATGATTCAATTACCTCCCACTGGGTCCCTCCCATGACACATGGGGATAATGCAAGCTACAATTCAAGATAAGATTTGGGGGGGGTGGTCACAGCCAAACCATATCATTCTGCCCCTGGCCCTTCCCAAATCTCATGTCGTCACATTTCAAAACACAATCATGCCCTTCCAGCAGTCCCCCAAAGTCTTAGCTCATTCCAGCATTAACCCCAAAGTCCAAGTCCAAACTCTCATCTGAGACAAGGCAAGTACCTTCCACCTATGAGCCTGTAAAATCAAAAGCAAGTTAGTTACTTCCTAGATACAATGAGAGTATAGGCATTGGGTAAATATACCCATTTCAAGTGGGATAAATTGGCCAAAATGAAAGGGCTACAGGCCCCATGAAAGTCCAAAATCCAGCAGAGCAGTCAAATCATAAAGGCTTAAAAATGATCTCCTTTGACTCCATGTCTCACATCCAGCTCATGCTGATGCAAGAAGTGGTCTTCTGTGGCCTTAGGCAGCTCCACCCTGTGATTTTGCAGAGTACAGCACCTCTCCCAGCTGCTTTCACAGGCTGATATTGAGTGTCTGGGGCTTTTCCAGGCACATGGTACAAACTGTCAGTGGATCTACCACTCCGGGTTCTGCAGGATGGTGGCCATCTTCTCACAGCTCCACTACGCAGTACCCCAGTGGGGACTCTGTCTAGGAGTTCTGACCCCACATTTCCCTTCTGCACTGCCCTAGCAGAGGTTCTCCTCGAGGGCTCTGTGCCTGCAGCAAACTTCTGCCTGGACATCCAGGTGTTTCCATACATCCTGGGAAATCTAGGTGGAGGTTCCCAAACCTCAATTCTTGACATCTGTGCACCAGCAAGACCAACACCACATGTAAGCTGCCAAGGCATGGGGCTTGCACCGTCTACCGCAATGGCCCAAGCTGTACACTGGCCACTTTTAGCCATAGTAGGAGCTGAAGCAGCTGATGCAGGGCCTGAAGTCCCAAGGCTGCACACAGCGGGAGAGCCTTTGGCCTGGCCCACAAAGCCATTTTTTCCCTCCTAGGCCTCCAGGCCTGTGATGGGATAGATGGCTGTGAAGGCCTCCGGCATGCCCTGGAGACATTTTCTCCACTGTCTTGGTGATTAGCATTCGGCTCCTCATTACTTATGCAAATTTCGGCAGCCAGCTTGAGTTTCTCCACAGAAAATTGTTTTTTTCTCTTTCACATCATCAGGCTGCAAATTTTACAAGCTTTTATGCTCTGCTTCCTCTTGAACATTTTGCCGCTTAGAAATTTCTTCTGCCAGATACCCTACATCATCTCTCTCAAGTTCAAATTTCCACAGATCTCTAAGGCAGAAGCAAAATGCTGCCAGTCTCTTTGCATTGACTTCATGCCCTGCATCCCAGACTTTGCATAGCAAAGAGACTTTAGTCCAGTTCCCAACAAGTTCCTCATCTCCATCTGAGACCACCTCAGCCTGGACTTCATTGTCCATATCACTATCAGCATTTTGGTGAAGGCCATTCAACATGTCTCTAGGAAGTTCTAAACTTTCCCACATCTTTCTGTCTTCTTCTGAACCTTCCAAACTGTTCCAATCTTTGCCTGTCACCCAGTTCCAAAGTTTCTTACACATTTTCAGGTATGATTATAGCAGCACCCCACTACCCAGTACTAATTTACTATACTAGTTCCATTCCCATGATGCTATGAAGAAATACCTGAGACTAGGTAATTTATAAAAGAAAGAGGTTTAATTGGCTCACAGTTCTGCAGGGCTGGGGAGGCCTCAGGAAACTTACAATCATGGCAGAAGGGGAAGCAAACACATCCTTCTTCACATGGCAGCAGCAAGGAGAAGCGCAAAGCAAAGTGGAGGAAAAGCCCTTTATAAAACCATCAGATCTCATGAGAATCACTATCACGAGAACTGCATGGTGGTAACTACCCCCATGATTCAATTACCTCCCACCAGGTCCCTCCCATGACATGTAAGGATTATGGGAACTACAATTCAATATGAGATTTTAGTGGGGACCCATCCAAAACTTATCAAGTTACTTGCCCTCAAATTCTGTAAACACTATGTGCCAAGCACTGTGTTCAGTGCTTTACAAATATTTTTAATGGGATCTTTGCAATAATCACATGAATTATGTTGCCATATCCTCATTTTATGTAAGAGGAAATTAAAACATATTTAGTAAGTGATGGAGCTGAAGTTTAACCCTATCCAGATTTATTAACCTTAATTATTATGTTCTTAAACTTTTTAACCTCAGCTTCTCCCAGATTATAAGGCTATGGAAACAATTTTCAGAGGGCAATTGTGCAATTTTGGCTGACTGCAACCTCCACCTCCAGTGTTCAAGTGATTCTCCTGCCTCAGCTTCTCAAGTACCTGGGATTACAGGTGTTTGCCACCATTCCTGGCTAATTTTTTGTATTTTTAGTAGAGACAGGGTTTCACCAGGTTGGTCAGGCTGGTTTTGAACTCCTGACCTCAGGTGATCTACCTATATTGGCCTCCCAAAGTGCTGGGATTACAGGCATGAGCCACCACGCCCAGCTGTGTTTCAGAATTGTTGAACATGGCTGTCATTACTGGTGGACTCAACTATAGAAATATTACATTAGAGAAGAGAGCTAAGAACAGAAGTTAGGAGAACTAGCCAAAAATTTTGAGTTAGGAGATATCAAAACACTGTCAGGATAAAAAGAAACCATAGAACAGACGTTAATAGAAAGAAATAAAAGAGGATCAGTAAGGTAAGTAAGAGGCAAGCATAGTATAGCATGAAAAGAAAGAGAAAATACGGTATTTCATGATGCCATCTGTAAAATTTGCTATATTCTGAAAGTACTCATTTCTGTAGCCCTCAACACAGGAGGAGAACATTTTTTAGGGACTACATTTTTGTCCTGAAAATACTGCATTGAAAATTGTAGCCACAGTTAAAAATGGAAAGGCTAAACTTTTGTTGAATTTTCCTGGTAGAATCTAGTTACATGTTCCTTTGACAATGTTAACACACAGTTGGGTTCAATCCCTTCATCTGTAACTGCTGTAATGATCAATTAAGAACCAGAGCTTCTCCTTTTATAAAATGATAGAGTGCATGATTCCTTGAGCCCCTTCTGGTCCTCCTGCTGGCATTGGTAGAATAGATCTGGGGGTACAGGCAACAAAGTAGTACTCAGATGGACTAATTATGCAAATGGTGATAAAGCAGATTGGAGGCAAAAGAACAGGGCAAAGCTTCTGGGTTAATGACACATTTTTTAAAGACTGAAACAAGTAACTTGTCTCTGCATTTGCAGAAGGGCTGAGTAGTGGGAATGTGTCAGACAGAAAGTTATATTTGGTCCTCTATACAGATGGACTCCCCTTATTTATGGTATATTAGCTGTCACTTTGTCTCTTTTAAAATACTGTGTTTTATAGGATTTCTATCTGCGGCTGCTAGTGGGAGTAGAAAAATATTTGAGGAGGTAACAGAGTTACCTCCTCACACTTATGTTATAACTGTGGTATTATGTAAAAAGTGCCATTGTTTTGTTATAGAAAAAGGTTATGAATCAATGTCACTGTATGGAAGTGGGAATCTTAGTTGTCCTAATTACAGGAAGTATACATATGTGACAGATTTGCATGTTACCTTGCAGAGATGGGGTGACCAAAAAATCACATATAGTAGAAATTAAATTTGAAAATTTCTTAGATAATTCATAAAGTATTTATAGTTTTGTGTTTAAAACGCTGCATAGCAATTTTACTACTAGATCATGAGATCCATCGAATGAAATTTTTAAAATGTTGCCTGCAATAGGAATGTCTACAGTCAGAGGTCTTGGTATTCAAACCATTCTGCCTTTACAGTAATTATCACAAAGTTACTTGTGAATGAGATTGGGTGGAAAGTTCTAAAGTATTTCTGCTTTTTCCTAAGACTTATTTTATTCTCTTTATTATTAAACCTCTATATTCTTATCTTAAATCATTAGATTCTTTTATTGCTGTAAGGATTAAGCAAGACAATAAACGTGAACACTCCTAACACAAAGTCTGACACACAGTATGTGCTGAAATATATTTGCTGTATTTGATTATAAATCTTCTCTTATCAGATACAATACAGTCTATTATTTGAAAAATTGAAGGGAAAGATGTAGCCATCTATCTCCCTGTATCCCAAGATGATATTTCCTGTTGTGTTACCACTGAAGAGCTCTCATTCTTAAGCCTTTGCTTATGGAACTTATGATGTTATAGGACAGCTTTTTAATAATGTGACTTCATCATAAAGTGAAGTCACTTTCCAGGACCTATTTCACATACCCTGTCTGCTATTGAGTGATACAAGTAGTAGAAGAATATTTGAAAATATAGGTTAAAAATTATTGACATAGAAGAGATAATTAACTACATGAAAGTTGGTGAGGTCTATAGGAGTGTTAGTGCAGAAAGAGTAGAATATAGGGTTATTACAGTATGTGGGGGCAGTGTAAGAAGAAATATAAAATAAACCAAAGTGGAACACCATACTAATTTAGTATTAAGTAAGCCTAGGATTTTTAAAAATATTTGTGGTATGGATTATGCATCTCACAAGATATTTCTGGTTCTTTACTTTTTAAGCAACTGGGAGATCTCATTTCCTGGACTATCTATGGTTTGGTGGGCTGTGTAATTTTGGACAATATTGTGTGAGAGAACTTGACATGTGCAACTTCTAGGCTGAAGAAATTAATAATTGGTGTGAGACACTTTAGAGTTTTATCTGGTTTGGTAAATGATAATATTCAAGAGGTCACCATTCTTCCATCTTGAGTCCCTGAATGTTGATGAGCTGAGTCCTCTCTTCCACATTCCACAACTAACCCATGTTGGTCTTATTTCATGAGAGAGAAACACATATGCTATTTTAAGCCACTAAAGTTTTGTACTTAGTGACAAGTGAAACACAGTTTATTTGCTATTGTAGTAATACTAACATTTTCATTGATCAGAGTGGGTGGGTGAATAGTGACATATTTAGCAAAAATACAAAGTAGGTGAAGAAATGTGAAGAAGGCAGAAAAGGCATTGGATTTAGCTAATTAGATATATCTATATTTATCTACCTTCCTATACGTATAGATATATAAAGAGAGAGAGAGAACTAGATTTTGTGCATTTTGGTATTCAGAATAACATAAATAAGAAGGCTGGTTTTTATGGAGAAGATGAGTGAAGTAATTCATGAACTTTTATGTGAAATGTTTGGTAGTGAAAGGAAGGTGAGGAACAGGAGTGTATTAGAGGAAGCAGCAGATGCAGGTAACAGTCATTTTTTATCTGACAAAGGATGAGGAGACCAGTGCATATCTCAAAGTAGACAAAAACCATCATAAATGAAGGAGAGATGGGAAGGTGCTATAATGTCTGTGATGGGAGAATGGGAAAAGGACCTAAGGATTCAGAATTGGATGGGATCAAATTCAGAGACAGATTACTTAGGTTTTATTCAGGAGGAGGGACGCTCCTTTCTTTGTAAGTGGAGAAAAAATGAGAGATTTAGAGTCAAAGATGTGTTCAGTATTAGCGTTAAAAATGATTCTTGTATTTTCTCAGGAAGTGTTTGAACTCAAATATTTTAAATCCCATGATACAAATGATACCGCTATCATCCTGGCACCATGGTGACTTTGGACAGCACCTCTTCTCTGCTCATTATGCTAGGAGTCTCCCACACAGCACTTCTCAAAATTTTTTTTTTTTTTTTGAGACAGAGTCTCACTCTGTTGCCCCGGCTGGAGTGCAGTGGTGTGATCCCAGCTCACTGCAGCTGGGATCAAGCAGTGAAATTCTGGGCTCAAGCAGTCCTCCCACATTGGCCCCCCAAATTTCTGGGATTACAGGTATGAGCCACTGTGCCCAGCAAAAGTTGATTGCTTCTCAACTTCTGAAGCAATCTTTCTCAGAGAGATTTGCAAAGTGTATTTTACACCTTGAGTTTTCAAAATCACAAAATTGTATCCAGAGCAGTCAATAATTTGTGATAGCAAAAGGTCTATCAGTTTGAAAAGACTAATTTTCCAGTAGTGCAGTTTACTTAAATGGATTTCTACTGTAAGAGCAAATATATATATATATGAAAAATTATAGAGGAAAAAAACACTCAAGTCTATCCTAACCCCTTGATGTTGAAATTAGACCACTGTGTAGGTCAGAGATTATATATAAATGCCAAAATTGAAACCAGTAGTTCTTTGGTAGGCATAAGAAACACCTGGCAAGCTTGTTAAAATTGCAGGGATATGGGACCTTACTGAAATTTACTGACCCAGAACTTTCAAGGAGGGGCCTGAGCTTTTTTGTCTTTTTGTAAAATCACCAGATGACTTGATGCACTCCAATGTTCTAGACTTACTAATCATAATGTGTCCCATTAATCTGATATCTCTTGAATTCCCCTAAAGCAGAGGGAGAGGTGCTGTCTGGTTTTGAAGAGAGTGGCTGTACTGCTTAAAGACCTAGAAAGCCAGGATCATAGACTACAGAACGTTTAAATCTGAGAGGAATTTGGGCACTTGACTTGTCAAATCTTCACATTTTATTGATGTAGAGACTGTGGCTTGAAAGGTGTATGAAATTTTTAATGTCACAAAGTGGCACAAAGGGCTAACAGTTAAAACTAATATTTTGAATTGAACATTTAGCTCCCATGTTTAACATTAAGCACACTCATATGGCTTTCTTCTGCTGAAACCATGTTACTGTTTTCTTAGAAAACATTATCTTTTGTTTTTCTAGACACGCTGGTTTTTTCCAAGTGTTCCAGTTCACAGGGGAAAAGGAAACCTGGCTACACTTTGTGGGTTGATTTCCTGCATTTTATATCTTTGTGGGAGGAGTAAATGACACATGTACGTGGAATGATTTGAAGCACTGCCCTCCCAAACATACATACTTGCTGTCTGCCCTGTTTTTTATACCACCTTATATACATACATGGCTTCCCAATTTCCTCCAGAATAAATTAATTTGAGAATTTAAGTAGTTTCCTTTTATTGTGGTTCTTTAAAAGATTGCAAGGTTGAAAAGAGCTGACTCATTATCTTACAAATAGCTTCGCAAGATAAATGGGTTTTTGATTGTTTCTTTCTGTGATTGGAAGGCTTCAGGGCAGAAATAAACTGCTAGAGACATTTTGTTTAAGGGAAAAGAACATATTTTGATACTATAAGTGGGGAACAAAAGAGAAATTGAGAGGAAACTAAAGATCAACAATTTGTTGAACAGTTTTTTTCTAGGATTGACCAAAGAAGTACCTGAAAATAATACTGAGAAGTCAAGGGGTGGGACCTCCTTGACTTCCCCACCTTTTCTTTTTCTTTTTGCACTGTCAAATGAAAAGTTAAACTTTAAATCAACATGTTTATAAAGAATTCAATACGTTGCATCCCCTCTGTGTGAAATACCTAGCATGATTTCTTTCTTTCCTTCTTGGACACTGTATTGCTATAACATCACTAACAGGAGATGAATTCCAAATTTTGGTAAAGGGAAAAACATATTTGGGTTGCTATTTATAATTTTTCCTGTTTGATTCACTGATTTTAGTATTGGTGTACTGAGGTTATTTTTGTTTGTTTTAAATTCTTATGGCCTATGATTCCATAAACAAAAATTAAAATATAAGATATTGAATAGAAATAAAAGAGTAGCTTTAAATAAAGCCTGCATGTCAAGAAAAATAGTTGAACAATAAAAAATATAGGCAGACAAATGATGTGAGCAGGTGATTCAGAGGAAAAACAAATAGTTATGTACAACAATGGGAAATTAAGTTCAGTTACATATCAATTTGGGTACTTCAAATTAAAATATATTTTTATATTCCATCATATTGCCAAAAACTAAAAAGAATTACAACACACAGTCTTGGTAGAGCTGTGAAAATACACAGTCTCATGTACCTCTCGAAGGCATGTGAACTGACCTATTTTTGACCTAAATTCAAGGGGAATTTTGGCCTAAATTCAAGGAGAATTTAGCATCATGTACCACAATTGTCCATATGTGTGATCCAGAAATGCTATTTCTAAGAATGCATACTTACAAAAAACCCTGTATATATGCAAGCCTAAACAATTAAGTTCACTGTGGCATTGCCTCTAATAGAAGATATTAGAACACGACATAAATGTTTATTCTTATAAGAAGAGTTAATGAAATTTATGGTATAACAATACTATGGAAAACTAAGTAATTGTTTAAAAGAATGATAAAAATTTTGTATGTTAAACTAAAGAAAGATCTAAGACTTAGTGTTTAAAAATGTAGTAGAATGAGTATAATGAACCTATGATTTTGCTAATTTGTATTGTGTTAACTATATTGTAATATGTCATGTGATATGATGAAATGCATAAATAAGATGTTTAGGATGATACTTTAATGAATGTTGTTATGTATTGCCCAGAGCCTTGCTCAGAATTAAAGAATTTCCCTCCACTTCTTAGCTTGTAGTTGGGCTGCTTGCTGGTAGCTGTGGGCTGTCAGTCTTTTCTTGAAGATTCTTGCTTTTCTTAAGATCACAGGGCCCACACATAGTGACTGGTCATTGTTAGGATAGAAAGGCCTAACCCCCTTACTGCAATGTGGAATAACTGTGAAAGATCATCCCAGATTTCTTCATGGGCTCTACTGAAGCCTTGGTTGAAATTTTACTGTAGCCCACTTTCCATCTTTGACCAATTCTACATCCTTCAATTCCTTCCACAGATGTTGATCATAAACTCTCATACAAAAAAACTCATTTTCAGAGTCAGCTTTCCACAGAACCCAATCTGCAAATTTAAAATTTCTTAATTATGTTTACCTCTCCAGAGGTAAATTTGAGTGGATGAGAGAATAAGGGCTTACATTGTTTTAATTTCATTCACATCTAACTTTGAGCTTTTATGCATTCATATAAAGGATGTCACACCTGGGTGTATGTCATATTCTTTATCTGAGTATAGAAAGCTTTTTCCCCCTAATTTTAAAAACAGGTGAGTAAATGAATTTTACTTTACTTACTAGAGATTTCATTTAAACAGTAAGTCTTTACCTTGTACTTTTTTACCCTGAATTTGGAAATTTGGAGTCTTCAAGATTTTTTATGGACTCTCATGGATGTTATGTTCTCCTTGACACTGACTTTCTGTTCACCAAAAAGATTGAGTCCCTGCTTGTTTCTCTATCACTGTTGATCTTTTTTTCCACTCATGTTACTCCACATTTCATCTTCACCAGCCTCCTTCTTTCTTCAGTGTAGAACCAACACAAGAATGTGCGCAAAAGACTTTGTGATAAGGCAGAGTACAGAATAGCATGGACTAGAAATCCACTTAAAATTGAGACTAAGAAATCATTGCTCTCTAAGTTTTCTGAATCTTTCTGTTATTTTGTGCCTCAGTGGCCATTTTTCTCCCTTAAACTATATATTGACTGCTTCCTCTCTTGTCTGTTCTAAGGCCCCCAGACCCTAAGAGATTAGCTAGGCAAGAATAGATTCTAAAGCCTATTACTTGATACCTGAAGTAATCTACTTCTCAACCTCCATTCTAGACTAGTCTATGCCAGCTACCTTTGCTTAAGATAGTTATGATTATTCTAATCAAAAGGTCATCTGCCTTAGGATTCCTCTCTTAATAATACAAATAATTAGTCTAAATATTGAAATTTCAATTATATTTTACCTATCTCAGATGAAGCTTGTGGATAGTGCAATGTAAATTTTTAAAAACTATGAAATTAAAAAAACTATTAAGATTATTTTTAAAAATTATTACACGAAGTGGGTGTGTTTTAATTTGTAATTTGCTTTTCAAATTGAATCTGACAAACTTCATAAACTAAACTCATTTTCATTCAAATAATATTTGATTCAAGAGGTCCTCCATAGGTCTATAAAATCCAAACCTAAATCTCTATCTCCCCTACATTTTTGAAAGAGCTGAGAATCCTGCATGTCCTATGTATAGCTCCCAGAGCCTTGTTGCTTAAAGTATGAAACCAATTTCTCCCCCATTGAAATAAATCCATTATTAGGGAATTTCAGGGCTGTCATATCACTAAAACATCCTTAATTTATCTTTATTGTTCAAGTAATTTCATTTCCTACGCATCCTAATGATCTTTGAAACTTACATCATTTATGAATAGTGTCATTCTCCAAAGACTTATTGAACCCTTACTATATGCCAGGCATATCATGTTCTAAGTGCTTGCCACACAATATGAAACAAAATAGAAAAAGTTCCCCTTTTATCCTGGAATTTATATTCTGATAATAGGTTAAAGCTTACTACTTTCTGCTTACTCACTACTTTACTTACCAACAAAGTAAATTTTGTACAGTATGTTAGAATGCAATAAGTTATATGATAAAAAAGAAAATATATATGTGTATATATATTATATAGTCTATAAATACACTATAGCATATAGAAAGAAATTATATTTGTGAGAAGATGTTAGGTCTTGCTAATATAACTATCCTCCAAATCTTAATGTCTTTAACAACAAAGACTCTGTTACTCACTCAACCATCTGGAATAAGGCTGGTTCCTGTGGCAGCAGTTAGAGAAAGTGGTAAATTAAGTGTTGACTATTAAAGGGATTCAGCCAGAAGTGCTACCTGTCATTTGCGCTCATATATTATTGCCTAAAATAAATCAGATGGGCAAGCTGAACTTGCAAGTTTGGTACAGTACAGTCCTACCATGGTCCTGAATAGAGGGCTTTCAGAATTTCTATTCACTGTCCTAGAGACTTTTGTTAGGGTGAAGACCTGGAGTATATGATGAGCACAGGCTGCAATTTAAAACAAGACAGTAAGGGTAGGTCTCATGGCGAAAACATTACTGCATAGAAAATGCCTTTGTTTTCGCTACTGGAACACAATCCATACCACTGAGAGATGTATAGGAGCTATGTATGGCATTATAATAAGTTCACGATCTCTTTCATTGGCATGGGGCATAGTGTAAAGAATTCTAGTTGTGTTCAGAGTAAAAAAGTTTTTGCCCAACATAGAAGTGCCCCTTTTCTAAGGCAAAAGACTCTACTTAATGTTCACAGAGTCTTCTGACTGACACACGTGAAACATACAGCTTCAAATAAAAACAGAAAGCCTTTTCAAGTATTCTCGAGAGATAATGTGGAATAATACATCTAATCACGGTTTCTGAAGGGAAAGAACATCTAGGTCTAAGTTCTGGCTCAAAGACTTCCTAGATTTGTGACCTTGCATTCTTTCCTCAGTTTATTCACCTCTTAAAAAATAAATACAACCTATCTCATATAAATTGCTGTCTGGCACATAGTAAGTGCTCCATAAAGTTTAGTTGTTTTTATTATTCATCCTCTTTGGAAGTCAGTGTTCATGCTAAGGCCCTCGTCTAGCCCTGATTTAATGGAATGATCTGAAACCTTCTGGGCTCCCTTTGTATTAAACTGTCTTTTGCTTTTCCCAGATGTATTTTATCCTGCCATTCCTCAGAGAGCAACACTATAATAAATTGAGTGATAACTGTAGATTTCTTGGCAAAATTATACTCCCTCTTTAGTTTCCTGACCAAAGCCTGGATGAAATAGTTGCCTCTGTCCTGTTCCTAGGACATCAGCAAACAAATTCCTATTGGGTAGCAAGGAATGCTCAAGCCGCAATGTCTGTGCAGTGAAAGTCAAAGCTGTTGACTTGTTGATTACAATAGCAGTGGAAAGCCATATTTTATATAACACCAAGCACCAGTAAAAGGACTGAAAGCTGAAAGATAATGCCTATTTTGTTGTTGTTTTTGTTTTTGTTGTTGTTGTTGTTGCTGCTGCTGCTGTTGTTTTGCCCAGCAGACTTGTGGCTGCTTACATTGGCTTCATTTTGGGGATACTGTTTAGAAGCTCAGAAGAAGTCATTTGCCAATCTGAGAAGTGAGAACTTCCAGTGACTAAAACCAAAAAATGTTTTGGAGTTGGAATACTCTTTGGTTCTGTAATTATATTAGAGAAGAGGTCTCCTCTTTAGTATGGTAGAAACATAGTATATAAATCAATATTTCTTAAATTTAACATGAAAAAAATCAGGTTTACTTTTGTTAAAGATTCTCAGATATATTATGAAGTACACATACCCCAAGATTGAAAACTAGAGTTAGGAATTATCATGCCACTTTTGTGCTGTGGGACACCAGAATATGCCTGTTCAAAATATGGAGGATTGTTCAACTGAAGACAATTAAGAAGAAGAAAATGGAGGAAAGCTCTCTGCCTTCCCTCTTCCTAAAAGCTTTGAGTTTCAGCTTATATAGCATCTTCAATGAAGAGCAGTAAATTTTTAGTAAAGTCATAAGACAGAAAAGGACTTTGAGTCTGTACTGGAGTTTTATAGAGCCTGGAGAAGAAAACGGTGCAAGACAGGATGCAGTTTTCTTTTTTAACTACTGGAAAACTCTAGTTTGGAATGATTTTTTTATGCCTTTTGCTCAGGATCCTTG
Organism: Homo sapiens; assembly: GCF_000001405.40. Lineage (NCBI taxonomy): Eukaryota > Metazoa > Chordata > Mammalia > Primates > Hominidae > Homo > Homo sapiens. The sequence continues at coordinate 34,283,334 of NC_000023.11, read as the reverse complement.
ATTCAATCTCCTCCTGGCAATTGTCAGAAAAGTTATTTTCATAGCTGTTTTTGCAAGCCTTACAGTTTTTCAACATTCAGGAGAGAAGGAGGTAGCAAAAGGGGCAAAACAGAAAAGAGACAATACAAAAGGTAAAAGAGTCAAAGGTCGAAACAAGGGAAATTAAAATCTGCTTAATCCTACATTATTACTTTTCCTTTTTGTCTTTTGAATAGAGCCAGAATCTCCTCAGCAAAATGAGACTTGCTATCTTTTGCTGCACTCAACAAACCATAGTGAGGTTTAATCTTGACTATTTGTGCATTGTAGCCAACAGTTAAATGGATCTATTTTGAAATCAGTATAAATAGGAGATTAAAGCAGAACACAAGCGCAAAAGTACAGAAAATGTTGCAAAACCACCTCCTTCAAAATGGTAAAGATATATTTAAAAGGATTGATAACTGAGTGCCATCTATATTTATTGCATTGAATATCAGTTTGAATTATATAAAAAGGTTTTAAATACATAATACTTCCAAGAATACATTTTAGACTACATACATACAGTATTTAAATGTTAATATGATTCTGAACTAACCATAACATTTTAATGCCTCACATTAAACATTGTGGGTTGAAAACATCAAGAAGAAAATTAAAACATAAAATAAAATATGGTTTAATAATCCTACTCTCTTGTGCATTTTGCAAGAGTCCTCATTTGTTTATTTATTGGCAATATGTCTCTTAAATATAAAGTAGTTAAGATTCTTTGTTGTTGTTGTTTTTTAAGACGGAGTCTCACTCTGTTGCCCAGGCTGGAGTGCGGTGGCATGATCTTGGTTCACTGCAACCTCCACTTCCCAGGTTCAAGTGATTCTCCTGCCTCAGCCTCCCAAGCAGCTGGGATAACAGACGCACACCACCATGCCTGGCTAATTTTTGTATTTTTAGTAGAGACAGTGTTTCACCATGTTGGCCGGGCTGGTCTCAAACTTCTGACTCCAAGTGATCCACCTGCCTCAACCTCCTAAAGTGCTGGAATTACAGGCATGAGCCACCGTGCCTGGCCAAGACTCTTAAAATGTCGTTTCCTGCTTAGCTTTTCAAGGCTCCAGAGCTTTCTCAAGTTCCATTGTTTCCAAAATTCGTGGCTCATTCTGCTATTTTATTCTGCTCACTTTTAAACTGGAAATATTCCAGAGGTCCTAAAAGTCTTAGAAACAGAGCACAAATGATGATAGGATTGACTTATTGGCACCAAAGTCCAAAACTTGAAGAATGGAAAGGTAAAACTTACTCTTAGAAAATGTTCTAAGACTACTGAATTCTTATGCAAAAAAACATGAGTAGATTAAGCAATTTCATTTTAAGACTGAATCAGTTTCTTGATATAACTTGAAAATAACAGTTCTATGATTTTTCACTGTTAAATTCTCTGTTTTTATAATTTCAAAACATAGTCTAGGTTTAGCAAAAATGGATAAATGCCTGACCAGCCTCTTCAAACGAAAGTTACTAAGAAGTCAATTTTGTCATCTTGGGAATGTGCACTAGACATCATAATCACTGGTTTTCCTGCCATACATAGGTTTCCCTTTGGGGAAACTGAATCCATATTCATATTTAATATTGTCTTCTTTGAGATTTATTCTGGGTATACTGCATTTTATCCATTCGTCTTTCTAGACTCAGATAAGGAATAAGGAACATTTTTGTTGTTGTTTTACATGTGCATTTCCGATTGGCATTAAATGTGGTTCCCAGCCTCTTTGTTTTATTTCTTCAATATCTCACTTGAAGAAGAATAAGTACAAGGAGATTTCAAACACAAATAACACCTGTCAATAAGTGCAATCATTGCAGGAACACACATCAGAAGTGATACTTCTTAAAGTTAGTCTGGCTACATCATTTTGTTTTTATATTTCCATCTGAACAATTTCAACAAATGCTAGAATTGGTGTTTCTATGCGAAGATAACCTTGAGTGTAATTTTTTGAACTATTTAAAGAAGTTAAGAGTAAGCATCTAGACCACTTTGGCATGTAAATATGGCTGGAAAACCTAAAATTTCCTACATTTCCCCAGTATAAGCCAGATGCATAATCCACTAGATGGCAGGAAGATATCAAAGTAAACAGATTATTGGAAGCCTTTGTGTGTATTTAATGGATAACTATAAATATTCTTGATGCTTGACTTTCCAAGGACTGATGTAAGCTAATCATGAAAACCTTATTTTGCTTGCTCATGATTAGTATAGAAATGGATATTCAACCAATTCTGGTGAATAATATAAGAAAAAAATCTGAGGAACTTTAAAGAGACATTTTCTCAATTCCATGAAAGAGTCATAGGAATACAGATTCTTTGTCTTCTGGATTTGTCATGTCTGGATGTGATGCTGGAAAATGCTCAATCCATCTTATAAACAGTCTGAAAATAAAGACAAATCAAGAAGGAGGAGAGAGCATAGAATCACAGAGAAGTGTAACTGCAACCTAGTTGTATTATGACTAGAATCCACTTCAAATCCTGGCACATCTTGAAATCAACACCTCACAAGTCAAATTGAAGTTTGTGAGATTATTTTTTTGGCAAAAACATGCAAATTAATTCATTTTCATATTTTTTGAGAAGACTGTTGATGTGACTGATATGTAGAGAAATTTCCACATAGACAAATCTATTTAAAATGTGAATCTGTGGTACCATTTTGAAGGCAACTTTATTTTAAAATTAATACAATTATTATTTCTGTATACTTGGTAACAGTATAGATTCAATTCAACAAAATTATTTTGTGGGTTTTTTTTACATGTGAAGTAATAACAAAATTTATATGGACATATATGGACAGAATTCATTATGATAATATACTTATTTTGAAAGTATAAAGTTTTGCTTGGGAGAAGAGGCTTTTGGACAGTCAAATCTTTCATTACTTTACCAAAGGCTTGTGCAGCTTATCTGGAGAGCAGATGGTGATGGGATTGGGTGAACCATCCAATTACACAACCCATATGCTCTAGAATGCATGAAAAATGAGTAGGAATGTACGGCACAAGTGCTGAAAAGAGCTGCTTCTTATGGGCAACTGCTTCAACATCTAATATAAGTGAGGAAGAGAATAATTAATTCACTCCTTCCTAACTGTGGCTACGGCTGTCTCAGCTGCTGCCCAGCTCTGTTTGTAGGTGTGGTGGGAGACACGTTGGGCCTTTTTGCCTCCTTTGCCAGAAAAAAGAGCCCACAATGTTTTCTCCCTGTGACTACTGCATATGGATTTAGGCAGATGCATCTGCTGCACATGCTGCAATAGCAGTCACTCTCTCCACCTCCTCATTGAACAGAGTGCGGAGACCAAATTTGCAGTCATTCCTGCTCTCTTCAAGCCAAAGGCTCAGAGTAGCAGGGATAGGATGTGGCCAAAACACAGGGAAGGGACAGGGTCTACTATAGAGAACATCCATGTCAGGGTTCGATGTTCCACCGCTGAGGCTAGAGTAGCAAAAGCAATGTATCATGCCCTTCTCGGTGCTCTAAATTAGACAAGGAGCAACATGATATAAGGTTGGAAGCTTCATGGAGCATCCCATTCCCTGCCATGTTGCAGGACAGGGATAAACATAAAGAATTTCCAAGGATCATTGACATGACTTTTCTTGGAGAAACTAGATATACTGGATTCCTTAAATCATTTATAAATATTCAGAGTGCTCCAATTTATTCTAAAATTATTTTAGATTTGGAATAGACAGGGATGCCAAGAAAGACTATTTTCAAACCTTACAATTTTCTTTGCACAACCACATGCCTTACTCCATGGCACATATTTCAGTTTTGAAATATTGTTTTTAGTGTGAGAGGCAAAACAAGGGCAAGAGAACTCTAGTAATAATTACCCTCAAGACAAAATAAAACTCAAACATTTGTTCAGTTCCCCATTATAAAGTCATTTTTCTCACACCAGTAGACGTCAAATACCTGGTCAACTGGAGATAGAAAATTGTGCCGCTAGTAACCAGAAATCATCTGACTCTTATAAATGAGATTTTTAGCATTCCCATTAGAGCTTTCATGTTGGCTTATTAAGACTAAGTGGCCAGCTAAACAAGATTACCTGTCCCTGATAGAAAGGGAAATAAAGTTAATGGTAAGACAAGCTGGCTGGCTATATTCTTTAGCCTGCCTCCTAAACTACTTTCTAAAATCTCTACCTGAGGACTTGACACTATGGAGAGCTTGATCAGTTCATTTTGTTGTGTAAGACTCATGGCTGATTTACAATTTGACTTGGAAATTTGTCTCAGGAAAATAGTTAGTAATTGTATGGGATAAGGAAAGTGGTGCAGGATGCTGTAAAATATTGCCCCACTTTATCCTCCTCCTAATGCTCAGCAACATTTCAAGCCAGCATTTAAATAATCTCCAACCTGCAATGAGTGGTTACATGTATGTATGAAGGATATTGGGATGGGAGTGTCTGATGGTAGGGACTCCGTAGGCTATCAGGCCAACCTCTCTATTTGACAGCCGGAGGACTTATGCCCTAGGATGTCCTCTTTTCTCTTTTTTGAAGTTAGAAACATTAGCAAATGCCACCTTAGGCAAACTATTAACAGGTATCCTTTTTCCTTTCTTGAAATACCTACTTCCCTACAATATGCCCAAGAACTTCTTAATCCCTCTACTCTTCATAAGACAGATCAGAACCTTCTATGGAAAAGATCATATGCTTTTAGTGAACACATGCCTTAAGCTTCATTCTGAATTGTGGAATACATTATCTTATTAAAGCCATTTCCATTTCCACCTAGTAGAAGAGAAAATGCTCTTTAATAGAAATTCAGAAATCACAGCATGTAGTCAATAACTCTGCAGCTTTGCTGGGCCACTTTGACCTGTAGGTTTTCCCTCTAATTTGCTGAGAAGGCTCAAGGATGAACATAGTGCAAAATGTGCATAAGTGTATCATCTGCATACTATGCTTCACTTCACTATGGTCAAGCTAGTTACTTCAGACTAATATTTTCATTGATCATTTTTGTATGGAAGGTTTCAATTGACTTTAGTGTGACTAAAGCACCATGTTGAAGTTTATTGCCAATTCTCCGATGAACCAGTCTTAGAGGATGGAGGCTACAAGGAATTCAGAAAGAATACCAGATGTGGTGATATAGATACAGCCACAAAATGTGCAATACAATTGGAATGATAAAACTAACATGTGAAAACACCAACAATGGAGGTCCAACAGCTGATACACTAAAATGGGACATAACTATGGGCTGCTATAGATAGATACGGAGACGTTCAGAGAAAAAAAAAAATGATGGGCTATGAGAAATGTATGAATGGCTGGTAGAATTTAGATTGGAGGTGGTGGGAAGCGATGAGGGCATTTCAGGTAAGGGGAACAAGGCAAAGTTGGGACAATATATATGGGTTAATAGCTGGGCATTAATGGAATGAGGGTACACCGTGGGATGCAGAAACATGTAAGATTGCATAAGCAGGAATAGGAAAGATTATTGATGAAATTATACAAAGGAATTTAGCTTTGGTGTGGGAGATCACAGGGAATTATAGTAGATTTTGTGGTAGGGTGAGAAGATAATGAAATAAAATGGAAAAAGCATATTTAAGTTTGAGCCCTCACCAAGTTGTGACCTTCACCAAGTTACATAACTATTTTCATCCTCAGTTTCCTCATGCAAAAAATCAGGATATGGGGTTATGTGAAGATGTAAGGATTAGTAAGAAATACACAACTCATCTCATCCTCATCATTCTCATACTCGTCGTAAAATATGTCTATTATTAGTATTTGTATTGTTGATTTAGATAAATTAAGATGGCTCTATTTTTTGTGATTCCTTCTCCTCTTCAAGAGTTAGACCCTATCTTTTCTCCCCTTCAATCTGGGCAGGTTCTTTGAGTGCTTTGAGCAACAGAATATCACAGACATTATGACGTGCCAATTTACAGACACAGATGTTCTTCTACTTTTTGTCTCTCGGAATGTTTGTTTGTGGATGATGTCTCTAAGAACCCAATAACCATGCTGTGAATAGCCTGAGCCTTGTGGAGAAATTGTATGTAGCATGTAGATACTGTAGCCAACAGTATCCAGGCCCAGCCCCTATCTGGTAGCACATGTGAGGTCCCAAGCAAAGACCACTATGCTGAACCCAATTAACACAGAGGCACTTGGTGAAAAATAATATATTTTTTAAGATTAGTGTTTCAACAGATTTAGAGATGGTTGGTTAAATAGCAATCAATAACTATTGAAACATTGATTTTGTTTTCTTAAATCACAATAATATTCAGTCAAATAATAACCATCATATTTGTTGTGATGGTTATGTAGAAATGACTGAATTTTAGGTGTGAAGGAGATGAAAGCCTTAATTAGGGAATCAATGTTGAAAATGAAGAGTATTTCCTTCATTAACCGTTAATTCATTCACTCACTCAATAAATATTTATTGAGCAACAACACTTATAGCACCATATTTGTGGAAGCTATCTATTATTTGGTTATTTCTTGCATTGGTTGAGTACTTCCTTATTGACTATAAATGCTATGTTTCAGTCGCTAGATTCCCAAGAATGTATCCCATATGTTCAGCAAAAGGTATACTATCTCAATTGGAATTTAATGTCATTCTGTTGCTTGGCTGTTCTGTTTCGTTATCACATTGCTTCCTTTGTTTCTGATAAAGGACTCTATTTAGGAGAACACATCTCTATTCGTATAGATGTTAATGTTATCACTTTATCGTTGTCTTAGAAATTATTTCTCTTGGCCATGACCCTTTGACCTTTTGTTAGCTACTCTGATTATTAGTACAGTCCTACTACCTCATTTTCCTCTTTTGTTCCATCCCTTTCTTTACTTTTATGCTTGATTTCCTTACATTTTCAAAAGAGAAAAATTATTGCTTTTAGGTAAAATCCTTCCTCTATTCAAATAGCTGATTGGATGATTTAGTAACTCATGCTCATACTTACATAGACTTACAAAAGGATAGTAGTAGGAAGTCTTTATATGGTAAAAATATAAACACAGGGATGACTTTTAGAAGCTTTGATTGATAGCCAGGAAAACTCCTGAAAATCTTAATAACACTGCGGTCAGTCCTACTGTAGACTTGTGGGGGATAACTTAGACTATTTTCCTTATTATCTTTTGTGCTGTATTATCAAAGTGCTAAAGAAATTATACTTCTAGAACCACATTCAACACATTAGCAAATACTCCTTTATTAACATATGAGCACTCATTCAATGTATATGTAATTAAAGCAATATCAAAAACATTCAAGAAAACAGAATTGTGGTAGCATGAAGGTAATTTTTCCCCCGCCAAAAAAAGCAAATGTAGTAATTAACTGATTTAAAGCTCACTGTGAGAGCACTGCCATTCAGAACTACAACACTTGGTGGCATGATAACTACATATTGATAGAAAACACACACACTTGACTAGGAGATTCAAATTGTTTTCTTAGTGCTTCAGGCAAGATAGGCATTATTAAAACAACAGAATACTGCAGTGCTCCACTTTCAAACACCAGTAGTCTGTGAAAGCATAGTTCTCTTTGCTCATAAAGAGAATGGGAAGGCAGGATCTAAAGGGTACACATTTACCTGATAGTCAAAATTCTGAGATGAGATTTTTTGGTAACTGTCAGACCAAAAACAATATAGTATTAGATATTACATCTAATGCAGCCACACAAAAGTTTCTGCTTTACATTTTTAAAAGATGTTCACATATATTATTTTATCTGCTCACCAAATGTCCATATTACATGTAGATATGTTAAGTGGCTTGTGTATTATCACGTAGACAATAATGTGATATTATAAACATTAAAAGCAAAGTCTTCTGCCTACTGGAGAGTCATATCACAAAATACAATGTAAGCTACTTGCCACAGGGAAAATTAATAATGGATGTAAATTTTAATTAAGAAACACATGTCAGGACCTACCCTTTGCTTAGGAGACTAAATTGAGCCCACAGCTGAGAATAAAAAAGCTATACAAAATAAAGCTCCCTATTCTTTCAACGTATTTTCCTAACTTGTGGCTCTGTCAAGACAAGGTGATGGATAATGGTGAGAAACATAGACCTGGAGACCAGGCTAACTTGGAGGCAAAACTAGATATATAGAACAATGGAACAAAATACAGAACCCAGAAATACAGCCACATATTTAAAAACAATCAATCTTTTACAAAAGCTGACAAGAACATACATTGGAGAAAGGACACCTTTTTCAATAAATAGTACTGGATAAATTGGATTGACGTATACAGAAGAATGAAACTGGATATCTATCTCTCACCATACTAAAATATTAGCTCAAGATGGAATTAAAGACAAACATAAGACTCAAAATTATACAAGTACTAGAAAAGACAACAGGAAAACATTTTCTGGACATTGGGCTAGGAAAAGAACTTGTGACTAAGACTTCAAAAGCACAAGCAACAAAAATAAAAGTAGAAAAATGGGACTTAATTACACTAAAAAGCTTCTGAAAAGCAGAAAATATTAATCAACAGAGCGAAAAGACAACCTGTAGAAAGAGAGAAAAATATTTTTAAATTATACATCTGACAGAAGATGAATATCCAGAATTTACAAGGAGCTCAAACAACGCCACAGCAAAAAAGAGATAATCCCATTAAAAGTGGGCACTTTTTAGTGAAAGGAAACTGTTGTAAAAAAGACAAAAGAAGACATAAAAATGGCCAACAGGTTTATGAAAAAATGCTTAATACCACGAATCATCATAGAAATGCAAAATAAAACCACAATGAGGTATCATTTTACACAAGTCAAACTGGCTATTATTTTAAAATAACAAAACATAACAGACATTGGCGAATTTGCAAATAAAAAGGAACTCTTATACACGATTGGTGGGAAGGTAAATAGTACAACCTCTATGGAGAACAGTACGGAGATTTCTCAAAGAACGAAAAATAGAACTACCTTTCAGCCCAGCAATCCCATACAGTTATCTATCCAAAGGAAAAGAGATCAGTACAATACCTGCACAAGTATGTTTATTGCAGCACTATTTACAATGGCAAAGATATGGAATCAACCTAAGTGTCCATCGATGGAGGAATGGATAAAGAAAATGTGGTATATTTCCACAATGGCATACTATTCTACCATAAAAGAGAATGAAATTATGTCTTTTGCAGCATCAGGGATGGAACTAGAGGCCATTGTCATAAGTGAAGTAACTCGGAAGCAGAAAGTCAAATATCACATGTTCTCATGTGTAAATGAGAGCTAAATAATGTGTACACATGAACACGCTGGAATGATAGACATTGGACACTCAGAAAGGTGAGGGATTGGGAGGGGAATGGATGACAAAAAATTGGCTAATGGGCACAATATATATTATTCACGGGATGGGTAACCTATAAACCCTGAATTGACCACTATACCATCTATACATGTAACAAAATTGCACATGTAACCCGTAAATTTGTACAAAAAAGAAGCTCCATCAAAAGATCCTTATAATAAAGGCAAAATATTTCCAAAGTATAATTATCAAGTGTTAAAATTAAATCTTCTACACTCTTGACTTGTCATTTCTTAACATTTTAAATTTTTCACTAACTTCTCTCGAGATGGTTATTAAAGTTTACTGGTTTGAAAATCTTGTTTCCTGTGATTGCTATTCAATAAAATCTTGAAAAGATGATGAATTATGGCTCTGCTTAAAATTAACTTTTTAAATAACAATTTAAAACTAAATATGAACCATACGAAACCAAAATATAAGAGGAATTGTTTGTTTAAAAAGTTGAATAAAACTATAAAGCACAGGACAATTTACAAAATAGTTTTTCAGCAGATCAAACATTTCTAAAATCCAATTGAAGACAGACAGCAAAGAAAGAAGATATATACAGCCAAATTGAAGATTTATGTTGTAATCAACATTAACTTCGTCTCGTTTTCTAATTTGGTTACTACATATGTAAATTTTGACATGTAGAGTTTTTATTTGGATTTATCAAATATAAATTATGTCTGTACCATGATTTATTTGTGTTTAGTAGATTTCTTAATTTAAACACATTGTTTTCACCACAACAGAGTGCTCCATTACATTTGTGTTCTCCAGTAGTAATTCTATATGCAATATTAAACCTTAAATTGAATGTATAAGACCATTCATAAGGTCAGATGTTTCACCTTTGACAGATTGAACTTGCAAAGGTTTTACTTTGATTTTATTAATTGGATGACAAAATTGAACCATTATTGGTTGTAAATTAATGAAATTTCCTTTTGAAGTATCTGAAGATGATAATATAAAACTGTCATTCTTTAACTACTCATGAATTTCTTTTGCTAATGAAGCCAACACATTAACAGCAATTTTTAATGTACATGCCCAAGAAAAGTGACAATTGAAATTAGTGAAATTCATTTAGATCAGCAGTTATTTAGTCTAAAAAAAAGTCACTTTTAGTGTTACTTCATCATACCTCTGCAACTGTACATATTAAATCGTCATCTTTAGGCACTGTCTTCTCAAAATGATGTTCTTCAAAAGACTGTGCCTTGATTGCATATGCTTAGTGATATTATCCACATAGATATTTATTGTCTACGAGCATTTTGTGCTAATTACTCATGCACAAAATCAACTCTTAAGAAATGGAATATCAGTGAGAAAATTTTTAAGAAAGCTTTCTTTCTTCTTCTTTTTCAACACATTGCTGTCTGAAGGGTTTACTGCAAAAAAAATTTAAAAAGAACATTGTCAAACAAAGTGAATAATTGTACATTTATCACATACAGTAAATTACAAAATCAATATAGCAATAATATTCTGACTATCTTTTATAGGCTCTATAGCAAGATTGCTAAATCTCTAATTTCTACACATAATTTACATATACTTAACCAATAATTTTCAAGTTTCCTATTGAAATGCCAAATGGCTGCCTGGTGCTCAAGCCACAACATGGAACAAAGAATCCAAATGGTAGGCAGTGCCACCATGTTAACCTGCACATCCTGTACATGTACCCTGGAACTTAAAATAAAAACAAAAATTAAATAAAGTAAATAAATAAATTAGGCTTCATTAAAGAAATAAAAAAATAAAAATAAGTTTCAAAAAACAATCTGTCTCCCACCACAACTGTAAATGGCAAGCAATTAGCTGTTACTACTACCCAGTTTAATCTAAGTTCCCTTCATGTTGTCGGTGGGAGCCGTGCATGCTGCTCTGAAAAGGGAAGTCTAAGTGATTTTGAAACTAAAAGAATCAGGAAAAGAGACAGGATCCTGCTGGTTTTTTTTTTTTTTTTTTTTTTTGTCAGATTTAACCACATGTGATGTGAAGACTATTTTAACTGCACGTGTATGTCACATAGTACTAGATGAGATAAGATAATGGCAGAAGAAGAAAGTACAATGGAAGGATAACCAAATAGGTACTGAACTATTTCCATATGACTATTAATAAAAGTACTTTGTAACAGACTGAATAAATAGCAAGGAAGTGCTCATAAAATAGTTGGGACTTTTCAAGAGGACACAGAAGCCAGTCTTCTGTGGGATGAATGAGGGACAGTTGGAGTATCAAAACAAATATTATCATAATAAATTATCAACAGGGCATATAATAAACTGGAAGGAATTATTGTACAGCAAAAGTAAATTGGGATAGTAAATATAGATAAGTTGGAATGTATGGTCACCTAAATAATGAGTGATGGAAAAAATACTGCTGGAAAAAGTTGGAGAGAATGGATGGAAGAACTTGTCCTTTTCAGGCCAAAATGAGAAGAATTATATATTTTTTTCAGAGTAGAGTGGAAAGCAATTCAAACATTTTAAGCAGTTGTTGCCTATTTTTCTTCTTTTTTCAACTTTGCCCCAGTTGCTGTATGAAAAACACAGTGAAATAATTTGGTCAGATGAAAGTAAGGACTCCAAGAGGCAATGACAACAGCCAAGGCAAGAAAAGAAAATATTTCCTAAAGGTTAAAGAAAAGGGAAAATACAGGGGAAGCATCATTCTTCCTGTCTTTACCTATAATCTGCATGTTCATTGTTCAACGTAATCCTAAACAAGGATTCTTGCTGACAAAAGTCTTGCTCTAATGGCAGGTCGCCAAGTTGTGATGCCACCTCAATCCCAGAAAATTAAAGAAGAGATTTAAAAATGCAAGGTCTTCAGTCATTCTATTTTGTTGCTTAAGTTTTATATTTATGGCGAGATGATAAATTCCCTGAATATGTATAATAGGAAATGAAACATTATGCAATACCAGCATTTCTTTTCATTCCTGAAGGAAATAGAATATTAAAAATAAGTAGCACCATCCAAATCTTTCTGCAAAGTGGAATTATATTTTAGTAGGTTAGATATTTATCAGGCTGCATTTTGTATTTTAGCATAAACAGCTATTAAAGGAAGAAAAATGGAATGTCTTGTATAGGAGAAAGTGCATATCCTCAAAATCATTTTGACTCTCCACTGGAGCCTTCACTGTTCATATTCATAACAATAGTATAAATGTGAAATAATATAGCTTGGCACTAGGGTAAAAAGCTGATTCCTTCAGCTGTACTGATGATGATGCATGCTATCTTTCTTATTTATAGAAAATAATATGAACATGGCGTTATGAGTCACCTTCACACTTCTGTGCTATTCTTTCTTCCTTACATCAGCCCACATCAATAGGATATTGCTTGCAAAATAACATGCCAGTACAATTTCCAGTTATTTCTGTATCAAACCTCTCTTACTTATGGGAAGAGAGCAATCAGGTAAAATGAGTATGCATGTACTCAAATGCGGCTGAGTTCTCCAGCTTATTTAGTCTCACTAATCCAATAATAAATGAAAAATCACTCATTCTTTATGCCCCATTTGAGCTAACCCCAGTGATACAGCACATATTTTTATTCCTACAGAGTATTTCTGTCTCATTTACCCAGTGAAATCTAATCTATAAATTCCAACAAATAGATAGCATATAAATTATATATTGTATAATATTTTATATACTTACCATTATATTGCAATACTATTAAAGTCTGACAAATGCCCATGTGCTGAGGCAGAGAGAAGTCATATCCTTTAAAACTGTTATTAACTTCACCAACATTTTCCAAAGTACCATGTCCCTGATACCAAAAATAGTGGAGTTGGTGTTTGGAGTCTCTGGGAATAAGTTCTCAATCTGTCCATGTTAGAGCGTAGAAAGTTATTAATACGGTGCAGACTGAAATTAGAACATGCTATTGGTCATTGCCCAAGACAACAAGAAAACCCATTCAATTTTCAAGTAGAAAATTTGGGAAGATTATATTGAACTGTCCTGGATTTTTTACATAAACAGAAATAAACACATATTTTGTCTGAGCCATTAAACATTTTGTATTTACTCTTTCAGCAGTTAACCCAAGTAACTTGTACAGTGTAGAATCACGACAGTGAGAAAGCTACTAATACTTCTGCTATCCAATTGAGTCCTGAGAAATCAATTCGAAATTCATTCCCTTGGAGTGCTAAGGCTTAAAACAGCTAGCAGACATGGACCTCTAAGATGTGACTGTAGTGTGATATTCATGGCTTTACAATATTCTGGGGTCTGAAGTGCACCTACTTTCCTAGATGACTGTATGGAGATAAAGTTTAAGGGGCATCCAAAACTCTTCCTTTACCTTTCTCTTTACTCTGTTCCTAAACTTTATAAGAAATTCGACAATGTGTTGGGTTTAAGGACATACTATTTGCCACTGCTAGCGCATGGTGTTTTTCTTTCTGGCTGATTTTTAGGAGAAATTTTCAAAGTCCTGGTCCCTTTAGTGCACTTCCTTTCCTGCTCTCTCTGTTTCCTCAAGCCAGAGAAATCAGAGCAAGAGCCACTTCGTGAGCTCATTCTATTCCATTTGCTTTTTCTGCCCAGCTTTTCTCTTTCTATGTAGACACTGGGCAAAAGCACTCTAAATTTCACAGAGATCACAGAAAGAAAAATATATTATTTTCAATTTACGTAGGGGAAAGCTGAAGAGGGGAAAACTCACAAACTGAGTACTACAATGAATTAAATAATCAAAACATAAACACACAAGATTTACTTAAATGCTAGGCTGGCTTAATGTTCTATAAGCAATAATTATAATTTATCACATTAATAGGTCAATGGAGAAACATGTGATGGCTTGTTATTTTATGAACTTGCATGATAATGATCATTTGTGGAGCAATTAGTCACCTAATAGTGACATAGAACTCCCTGCTGATCCTGCATAGATTTCTGTGTTTGGAAATATTTCCTGTTGCCATTAGTGAACAAAGCAGTCTAGGGACCTTCAGGATTTGAGAGCAAAGGAACCAACAGGAATAGAACCAGGAGTGAGGACAGTAGTAACAGGGCAGAGCATTTGGGCAGTCAGCATCCTGAAAAGCAGGGTTGGGGCATGGGGACTGGGGCTGTGAAATAAATGTCTCCTATTTTAAAGAGATTGAGACAATTAGAAACACCCAAACAGGGATTTAAGTACAGAGAATAATTAGACACAAAATAGCCAGAAAGAATAAATGACATAACTTTAATTTAAAAATAAAGCAACGGCCCTGAAAGAGAAGGAAATGGTCAATATAATATCATGGACTGTTTGATATTGAGCCACTTAATGACTAGTCTATGGTTCCTTGAATCTCATCCTGATACTCCCATAAATAAGACTAATTAGGGGGCAAAGTGGCCCAATTGCTGCCATTGGGGGATTTATTGTTAAGGATTAAAGAAAGATGTCAGAGGAGAAACAGGCAAACCAAGACAGCGGGGATAATGGAGAATGGGACTATACTTGCAATACAAGAATCAAGTGGAAGCTTGAAGACACTGTGGGCTTTGCATACATTTTTGCTACTTCTATAATATTGAGTGTATTTCTCTCTGATTTTTGAGATAATTTATTCTGATGGAATGATATTAAATTTACTAAGATCTGAAAGAATGAACCAAGCACAAGGCATGGAACATAGTATTCGGTCAATATTAATTCTTTTCTTACTGGGACCCAATAGAACACTTTCATGAAAAAGACAACAGTAGGCCATTTAAATGTGTTAATGTTTCCCTTTATGCATGCTTCATGTAGTAGCCATTAATGCCATTTGCCAACTATTTCCAGCTCTCTGCCTCACAGAACAAGGTAGGATTGCATTGCTCTGCTCCATTTGATTGGTGGGGTAATTTTGGCCAATGGTATGTGAGAGGAAGTAAGATATGTCATATTCCCCATGTTACAGTAACTGATCACATCTGAAAATATGACTAAACCATCACCTTGGGTTATTTAGTCACAGACAGAGCCTCCGGGCCAACAGAAATATAGCAAAACATGTCGCAAGTATGTAACAAAATAATGTAGCAGGCAATGTAGCAAAAGTGAGAAATAAATATTTGTTGTTTTCTGCAACGAGGAAGGAGTTTTTCTTACTGTAGCATAATCTAGCCTAATGTAGTTGACACATACAAGCACTGAATTTCAGTGTATACTGGAATAACAGGATTTAGCCCAGTGTCACAGCTCTATGGGCAAAGATCAAAAGATAAAAGACCTGTAGTATTGAAAGTAGACAAAAACGTCTCCCACTCAGCAGTATAATGTAAATTTACAAATGTGTTGAATACAAAGCGACAGAGACAGAAGAAAGGCATATTTTTAGAGCAGCAGCAAAAACAGCGGGAGGCATATTAAAGGCTAAGAGCTTATTCATTAGAAATAGGAGTTAGGTAAATGCAGAGATAGAGGAGCTGTGACTTATGATGTGATGGGATCTGGGGAGTGATAGCTGTGAGTGTTGGGCCAGCTGGAAGCACAGAACTTAATGAAAAACCAGTAGCTCCTCCCTGCATGTATCTCTTACATGAATATTGCGTGTATCATGCCTACTAATTGTCTCGACATTGTGATATTTCTGCTGGGATATTCAAGGCACTATTCCACCTTTTTGGGTAGGAACATATCCCTCTAATATGCAAGGGTATCTCTGATGCCAGTAATTCAAGAAAGAGAAGAATTCTTAGATAGGAAATCAGAATTCTGAGATAGGAAATAGAGAAGTACAAATTACTAGTTTGTAAAACTAGTTTGTGACCAAATTGTTAACTTTGCATTAAAATACTTTATGCCAAAAAGGAATGCTGTCTTACATACAGATAAAACATGAGGGAAAAAAATGGTAACAAATAACTGAAACTGAGCCACTTCTTTCTCCTAATTACATTTTAGCATATTTATTTTAGTCATCCTCACATGTAATTTTCACAAAGTACTCCCTTTTTTCACTTTTATCTTGTTTTAAGAGCATTATTCTTAGACTTCAAGGTTTAAGGTTCAACCCTGAAAGTGCTCATACTTCCAACACCTTTGGTTTACATTCCAGCCACAATCTGAAACACTGGAGAGGTTGTAAGCCCTTAATAAGCTAACTGTGCAATGGCAGGTACAAGAACTTCTGAATCTGAGAAGCTCCTTACTACTTCTTACCGTGAAACGGGATAGTGATGCTTTCTTTCTCAGATTTTACATGACCTGAATGAGACAGTGTCTTTATAGTTTCTGACACATAAGTGCAACATCAAAATATTGCTTCTCTACTCCAATCCGCCTTTCACTCATGATCCATCTAAATAATTGTCCATTCAGAACACTGTGATTAGTAAGATAGCATATTTCTCTTTGTGTTTGTAACACATATGATTCAACTGCAGGTACTAAAAGTGAAGAAAATGCCAAAAATCGTATCACATTATGTTGTTTTCCCTCTCCAGTGTCCCACTCAGGGGGCTCCAATAAAATATCTGATCCTAATCTTTTCCTGTAGATGTTTGGATAGTGTAAATTTAGACAGCCTGGGTTTGTATTTTAAATGAGAAACATGTGTGCTCAGCCTATTCTGACACCCTAACCAATTTCTCTAATAAAGTCCATAAAGGATATCTTCATAATAAAGATCTGGTATAACATCTACTCTTTAAATATTTAGCTTAATGTATTTGTTAATGGGAATGCTTATGCACAGTTTGCCACAATACTTCACAGCAGTGGATATAAGCTACATTTTCCTTCTACCTTTCAGTAAACATGCTCTAAGGTAAAGAAATAATAAAATAATATATAAAAGATACTTACTGACCACATATCACCAGGAACACACCTGTAGAAAAATGAGATGAGGTTTATCATGCTTGCTGCAGCCAATTGGACCATATTGCAGGAAATCCGAGGAGTCCTTCAGAAATAGGACTTGGGAGGAACTCCTTACAGGATTAGAGCTTGTGCTTTGCGCTCAGGAGGGTTCAAGAGATCAGCGTCCTATTCTGGATATGATGTCATTAACAGGGATAGTTGAGTCATTGGATATCATATACAAGTATATGATATATTTCTAGGAGATGAGAGGTTTAAAGCTGGACTGCAGCTAACATTGGTTAAAAAAAAAAGTAGCAGTCAGTCATGTCTGTCACAAAAAGGAGATGTCTAGTTCCTTTTGCGTTTGCAGAGTGCGCTTGTCTCCTTTATCTTATTCCAGATAAGGTCACTGAGTGGCTTTATTTGAGGTTTTTTAAGATTCTATAAGTGTTGTGTATGTTCAACATTATGGGCTAGTAGTCACTGTTTTATTTTCTTATTATCCAATTTATACCTGAGTTATTACTGTCCCCAAACTTTCGCCATAAATAAATACTGGGAGCCCTGAAAGGCTAGTGCTCAGGGAAAGAGTGATGAAGATGAAAATGGTAATACAAAATAAGTTAAAAGAATAAGTTAAACAACAAGTTAAAACAATAAGTTAAATAATACAAAATAAGTTTAAAAAATTTGAACACCAGACTTGGTCCTCTTAGGAGAACAGCTGAGATAGGACTGAAGCAGAGTTTACATCTCTCCCCTGGGTTTCTCACAAAATAAGCCCACATGTATTTTTAAAAATTTATTTTACTTTTAATTGACAAATAATAATTGCATATATGTGTGGGTTATAATATGATGTTTTGATATATATTTACATTCCAAAATGCTTAAATCAAGCTAGTTACCATATCCATCACCTGACATATTCATTATTTTTTATAGTGAGAACATTTAAGATCTACCTTTAGTAATTTTGAAATATGCGAAACATTACTAGCAATTATAGTCACCATTCTCTGCAATAGGTCACTAAAGCTCATTACTTCTGTCTAACTAAAACTTTGTACCCTTTAACTGACATCTCCCCTTTCCTCATCCTTCTCCTGTCCCCCAGCCCTTGATAACCACTATTCGACTCTCAATTTCTATGAGTTCAACTTTTCCAGATTCCTCATATAAGTGAGATCATGAGGTATTTGTGCTTCTAGACACACATGTATTTTTTAAATTCAGACACTGAATTTTGTTTAAAATGTTTTCAATTCATTAAAGCAAATATTTAGAAAGTGTAGGAAATTTGTAATTAAACTTTCTAATGATAATAATCTTCAGTGAGGACAGAGAATGTATCAACTACCAACAGCATAAATTCTCTAAGGTCGTACATTTCTATACAAGTCAGTTAAGCACAGAATAGAATGGTGGTTGTCAGGTGCTGGGAGGATGAGAAAATAGGGAGGTATTAGTCAAAGGGTACAAAGTTTAGACAATACAAGATGACTAGGTCTTAGAGATCTACTGTACAGCATAGTGTCTACCATTAAAAATACTGTATTGTATACTTAAAAATTTGCTAATTGAGTACATCTTATATTGTGTTTGTATCACCATAATAATAAGAACAAATAAGAGGGCAGGAGGAAACTTTTGAAAGTGATGGACAGGTTTATGACATAGATTGTGGTGATGGTTTCATGCATATATACTTATTTCTGAACTCAAATTGTATACATTAAATTTGTGCAGCTTTTGTATTTTAGTTTACCTCAATGAAGTGGTTTAAACAAAGAACCTCCAGTATCTTGTAAATGTAATACGTATTCTCTATTAATGGATCTTACTGGTAGCAAACCAAATAAATAAAAGCAATTACTGTCTCATTTAGTTTAAGAGAGAAAATGATGTTCCATACCAGGTTTTTGTAAAGGTCTTACTGCTTCAGTTGAAGTCGAAATCACCATGAAAATCTATCTTGAAATAACATCAAACATGGTGAGCAATCAATAAATATGAGTAATTATTAAATGATCTTTTTTTGGAGAAGAGTTTAGTGCCTTTTGAAGCACTGTCCTGATTTAAACCAAAGTTTTAAAGAAAAAAATAATTTTTAAAAATCCTGGTTGATAACTGAAGGCTAAAACTATAAGGTTGACAAATAAGAGTAAGAATATTGGAAACATCCCCACCCAGTAAGGCAATTTCTCAACCTGTTTAGAAATATTAGATACATAAGAAGGAGGTGCCTATTGAAGCACTGTCTTGATTTCAACTGTTTTATTTATTTATTTATTATTAATTTATTTTTTGGGGGATCGAGTCTCACTCTGTCGCCCAGGCTGGAGTGCAGTGGCTCCATCCCGGCTCACTGCAACCCTCCATCTCCCAGGCTCAAGCGATTCTCCTGCCTCAGCCTCCGGAGTAGCTGGGATTACAGGCTCCCGCCACCACGCTCAGCTAAGTTTTGTAATTTTAGAAGAGATGGGGTTTCACCATGTTGGCTACGCTGGTCTCCAACTCCTGACCTCAAGTGATCCGCCCACCTTGGCCTCCCAAAGTGCTGGGATTATAGGTGTGAGCCACCGCACCCGGCCCTCAGCTAATGTTTTAAAGAAAAAAAAAAAGAAGGAAGTTTCAGCTTATGTGACTCACTAAAAGTGAGAAAAAATTATGGCTTTATTAAGTTTATTCACACACACTGACACTTTCTAAACTAATTATTTCTAATATCTATAATACATAAAGAAAAAATAGTGAAATGCCCTCGAAAATGGAAACAACATGTGAAGGTAATAGCTTAGTCATAGTTACAATTAGCAGGTCCAGTAATGCCCAGGAAGCAGAACTGAGAGGTGTTAGTGCACAAATCCAGCGAAGAGAATAATCTTTTGGCATCAAACACCTTTAAAAATATTTTTTAGTGAAAGGAAGAAAGTGTGCCTAGGAGAGTAGGCACAGCGATGGGTTGGAGTAGGGGGACAGAAAGAGGAAAGTACTGAGTAGTATTCAAAAGAAAGTATTTTGAGGCAGTTAGATCTGAATTTTTCTCACTATCTCTATCACCTTTGTAAGAAATACAACCTTCTTTAAACTCAGATTCCTCAACTGTCATGTGACAATAATACATTTTTAGAATTAAAAAATTTTGTAGAATTAAATATGTTATATATAAAGTTGTGAGTCTAGTTACTGACATTTGTTTGTGTTCAATAAGGAACAATTATGATAATGTCAATATTCCTTTGTGAATTTGTAATTATGATGATAGCCTTATATTTACAAATCTTTGTATATATATGTGTGTAAATATAGAAAAATATATACTTTCTGAAACTTACTACCTCAAGGAAACTTCAATTAAAGTTTTAATAACCATCCTTAACCATCATTCCATATATCTCTTTGTGCATATACATCATATATTACACACCTATAACTGAGATTACATAATACATAATTTCTTTTTTAACAAGGACACTGTTAAAAACAATTATCTTTCTTTCACTGGTTTTTTTTTTGTGCTCTCTCTTCTTTCTTCCTGCTACTCCCCACAAGAGGGTAACCAATATTAACAGACCAGTGTTTATAATTTCAAATTCTTCTCAATGCTCATGTAATTATGTACATGGGTGTACACACATACTCAAACATATAAGGGATTTATTTTATATATGCAACTCTGCACATTGTCTTTTCATTAAACAACAAATGTTGTAAATCTATCCAAAACAATTGGGATACCTTCTATTTATTATTTTTAATGGTCACATAATGTTCATGGTGTCTGTACTATGATTTATTAAAATCATTAGTTCTGTTTTCATTTTATAAATAGTGCTGAAATAAACATATCTGTACCAAGTGTCATTAAAGACCTTTTACTTTTACTAGCCTTCTCTTCTAACTCTAGGTTTGGGTTTATTAATTAAACATTTTTAATCTACACTATTACTTGTATTTTCTGCATTATGATTCTTTAATTTAAATATTCCATATTGTTCACTAATAGTCACTGTATCATGCATTATTTATATTCATATGTGCATGGCTGTATATATTATGTATCATATATTATATATCATGTATTATAAATGTATAGAGTCAAAATGAGTGAAAAAATTTAGATTTTCTCTTATTTCCTCTTCTATTTATCTTTTTCTGTCTTACATTTTCTGTTTGATTCAATAATTATTTGGTTAGATGGTAATTTTCTTCATAAAATGTGTATGCTATATTCTCTTCATTTTAAAAAATATTTTGACAGGTGAGCTATTTCTTTGGGTTCAGAATTTAAAAATTGTATCTTTTCTCTCATTAGCTTATAGATTGCTCCTCTAGTTTCAAGTATCTAATGCCTGATTCTTTTCCTTTGTATATACCTTTCCGTTTTTCACCCTCTTTCAGATTTTGTAAGGTTCTTCTCTTTATCTTGGAGTACAGAAATTTTATCAGGATATGCCTAAGGATCATTTCTCATCAAGCCTAAATAGGCTTAAATGAATATATTCAATATTCAGACTGAAGTCTTTTTTTTAACCTTAGGGGACTATTCTGTTATTATTTGTTTAGGGGAATATTCTGTTATTATTTGGTTAATCTTCCCCTCTTCTCTAATATCCCTGCTCTCTCATTCTGGAACTCTTTACATTTGTATCTTGGATCTTCAGATCCAATACGTAGCGCTGCTATTTTTTTCTCCTGAAATTACCACCTGTTTTTTATTATATCTGTATTTTGAAATATAGTTTATCTTGACTTTTCAGTTCACTAATTCATTTATCAATAATGAAGCTCTTCTCAGTTAAAAATTCTTTGCTGAATTGTTAAGTTTAAAAACCTTTTTCTGGTTTTTGCTTGTTTTGGTTTCAGAATTATATGTTGCAAATAAAAGTTCTTTAAACTATTAATCTATGCCTACTTGCCTACCTCCTGTCTTGGCTGTCCTACTTTTTTTTTTCTCTCTCCCCGGTTTCAGAATCTCTTATTGGTTTTGTTATTTGTCTTTTCTCTTGGCTCCATTCATCCTTGGGGGTAGCGTTTGATGTCTAGGGTACTTCAAGCAGAACGGTGAAGAATGAGTAGTCGCTGGCTATCTGGGCTGTCAATAAATACCCTAGGTCACAAAGTGTCAGTTCCCCATAGAAACATCAGAAGGAAGCCTCTCTGCTGCCTATTTATTCAGTTACAAAGACCGATGTTCTCTAAATTCAGGAGCAATGAGAATTCAGATAAACTCATCTGCAATCCTGAGATGCTTTTCAGCATTCATGGAGACCAGTAGGTCTGCCAGACACAATCCCAGCAGCCAGCATCACCATTCTGCTTGGACATCCATGGATACTGATGGCAAGTTCTCCCTAGGAATTGTGGTGTCCTAAGTCTCTTCCTAAAGCTTTCTGCAGCTGGTTACAGACTTTGGTCTCACCCAAATAGGAAAAGTCCATTGCCAGTTCTGTAGGATCAGATCCCAACAAAACAAGTGGCTGATTTTTCACCTTGTGGTGTCCACCTGCCTCTGAATCTAGCAACTCTTTCACACATAGGTGCTAGTTTGAAGTTGGATCAAAGTTGAAAGAGAGGGCTACAGCGACTGTCTAGGTTTACATCCTCCCCGGAAAGTCCTATAATCCTTTGCACTTTAATTGTTCACTTCCCTTCTCATAAAGCACTTATCACAGTGAATTGCAAATACGTGATTACTTTTCTGATTACCAGGTAATCAGAGCTCCATCAGGGTAGGGAGCATGAACATCTAATTCACTGTTTTATCCATAGCGTATAACATAAGGCCAGCACATACAGGGTGTTCAATAAATATTTGAGTCTAGGTTTCTGAATACGGAAATGATTATTTTTTCATCAGTTTAAAGAGACTAAAATGTGGCACATTCAGACAGAAACGTACGAAGTAGAATCCAGGTTGGGGATAGTTGTGGTTATTATCATTAAGTTTTTTCATACACATTCTCCTTTTCCTCTTTTCATTTTTCCTGGATAATTTCTTTTTAGCAGTAAAGGGCCTTATTTCAATGATACAGATGTACTATGGAGCTAAATACAACACTTTTGTTAAGAGGATTGAAACATTTTGACAACTTGATACTTTGGAAAAGCCTATTCTTTTCATATAATGCTCTGATGTGAGACAGGTGGATGGTGCCAAATTTGACAAAAATATAATAGACACATCACTCACACCAGCTGGGATGGTATTTGAAACTTCTCCCAGAGTGCATATTACTCTGTATCTCCCAACAATCTCATAGACTGAATTTGAACTTTTAGTTCTGACCTTCAAAGTTCTATTCTACTTGGCTGCTGATCCCAACAAATCTTTTACCCCTTCAAATTCAGTGACAGTTTCTTTGACTCTAATAAAAAATACGTCTTTGGAAAACAACAGTGAGTCCGATTACTGTTTCGTCTTCACTACCAGTTATTTTGAAATTTTAGACTCCTACTCTTCCTCTTCCTCTTGTCAGCTATGGCATATTTAATACCTATTATATGGAGGTACTATATTATGTATGTTAAATATTTTAGATTATTTAATCCTTAAAATAACAGCTCTTTGAACAAATATGCTTATCAAATTTTACATATGAGGTCATTAGACTAAACTAAAATTTAAAAGTTTTTAAACCAGTAAATGAAAGAGCTAGGTTTAAAATTCCAAGGGCTATGATAGTCCTATCATTCTGGTTTTCAAAGATTGCTGAAAAAGTGAAAACATGTTCAGGACTGGAAAAGTGAAAATCCATATTGGACTAAAAAAGAACAAAAGTCCTGTAATTAACCAGACCAGGAAGATAGACACATACAAAGCCAGGCATGTAGTTTACTGTAATCATTGTTGCTCCCAAAATCACAACGAAAGTGTAAAACGTTGTAGCATCCTTCTCTTTAAGTGATTTCTTATCAATGATCCCACCCTAGAAACAGTATCCAATCCAGAAATGATCCCCTCATAATGCTTCAGCAAACCTAACCTTTAGGAAGGATGCTTCCATCCTCTGGAATAATATTCCTCTGGCATATCCTCCCTTGTTGCACTGAGTGAATAAATCTGATTATTTTTCTGACTACAGTCTTGTTCCTGGTGGTCTTTGGCTGACTAAACTTTTAATTTAAATGTTAGTGTCAGGTATGTGCAGGGTTATTCACTGGAGTAGTAGGAAATTATGCCTATAATTTGACTGCATATTCATTGCCAAAAGTACATGGGAAGGTGAATTGATTTTTATGATACTGCTCAAACATTTGTGTTGATAATATGGATGTTTTAAATTATTTTGTGGCAATGTGGGTCATTTAGGGGTTAAAAACCAATGTTTGTTAGTTGTTGAATTAGGTTAGCTCTGACTTTCCAGTGTGTCACATACTTTGTTAGGGATTGGTGATACGAAGCTCAAAATTTACAAAAGAGTTTAATAAGTTCTTTGATGGAGTTGTACATAGAGTGTTGTGAAAGCTTGCAGAGAGAGAATAATCAAAGTAGGAACCGGAAAGAAAATCAGAGAGGGCAATGAGGCAGGATTCCTGGGGAAGATGTCTCTTGAGTGGAGATTCAAAGGGCGAATAGGATTTAGGTAAATGGAAGAGTGGGAGATTAGAGGAACAAATTTCCCTGTAGACATAATAGCATCTATAAAGGCATGGAAGGGTGAAATGAGAATTTCTCTTAAAGGGAGTGAAGGGAGATTATACAAGTGAGGTAAACAAAGCTTTCAGCTTGCTGGGTTTTGTGTGAAAAGATAAGGGGTTGGGACAGTATAATGAAAACTGTTTGCGACTATTCTAAATATTGTCAACAACTCTCCCATTACGTCTGTTTCAATGTATACTTTACCCACAATGTATAGACGGCCCCTGACATATGATGGTTCAAGTTATGAGTTTTTTTGACTTTTTGATGGCATGAAGGTGATGTACATTCATTATGCTTCTTGACTTACAATAGGGTTATGTCTAACTAAACCCATCGTGAATCAAGGAGCATTTGTTTATGAATGTCTCTTTTACACAGACTCGTATACAGACTACAATATCAAATTTTGGATTTTTGCCAATCCGTTCAGATGAAAAATGGTACGCCAGTGTAATTTTCATATGTGGTTGTCAATTGTCTTTTGACTGTGCCTACGGTATTTGTATCCAATATATTTTTGAAAATTATTTTTGCTTCAATTATCAGTCTTTCCTTTAACACGTGCAGATTCATGGTCGCAATGAGGAAGGCCTTATCAATTTCAAGGCCATACGGACATTCTTTATTCTAGTACTGTATGGTTTCATTCTTTATATTTAGGCCTTTGATACATTTGAAAATTATCCTTTTATCTCATAGCATGCAATATAGACATTTATTAATTTATAACATCTAGTTGTATAGATGTTATTCAACTAATTGAATAATCAAAATGTTTTTTTTCATGATCAAAGGTTCAAACTTCATCACATATTAAATGAATTGTCTGGGCCAATACCACACCATTATAATTGCTTAGACTTGATTTATTTATTTGTTTGTTTGTTTGTTTGTTTTTGAGACAGTGTCTGGTTCTGTCACTCAAGGTGGAGTTCAGTGGCATGATCCTGGCTCACTGCGACCTCTGCCTACCAGGCTCAAGTGATCCTCCCACCTCAGCCTCCCGAGTAGCTGAGACTACAAGAGTGTGCTGTCACACCCAGCTGATTTTTGTATTTTTTTGTAGAGATGGGGTTTTGCTATGTTGCCCAGGCTAGTCTTGAACTCAGTTATCTTCCCACCTCAGCCTCCCAAAGTGAGACTCATTTTATTTTCATTTATTTTCTCCTTGTTTTTATTTTATATATTTTCTCGGTTATTTTAAAACTGATGTTAACTAACTTAAGGATCAAGTTTTCAACAAAAACCTCTTAATAAGTTTAACTTGGATTATAGTAAAGTGTAAAATTACGTAGTGAAAAATAGATCTTTTTATGTAGAGCTTTCTTACCTAAGAACACAGGCTTTCTTTTGTTCGGGGTGTTTGCCCTTCACCTGAATTTTATAGTTTTCTTCATATAAGTCTTACATTATATGTCAATTTAGTTTTAATTTTTGTTGCCATTATAATTGGGGACTATTCTTCTATTAGATCTCCCACCTGTTTATTTTTGTATACAGAAAATCTACTGGAATCTACATGTAATTCTATTATGCAGCTATATTACTGAATTCACATATTTTTGTAGTGTTTTTAGTTGATTTTCATAGGCAATCTAAATATACAATTGTACCATCTGCGTGTGGTAATAATTTCACATTAGGAGTTATTAAATAAATTCATGAAAGACGGAAGTGGTGGGGATCTAAAGATGTTAGATATAGAGAAAAGAGACAAAGAAGGCTCTGGTTGCATTTAACTGGGTAGCTGGACATTACATTCTCTGAGATAAGTAAGACAAACAAATAAATGTCAGGCTTGTAGGGGAAGAAAAAGGTTGAAAAATGATGGAGTTGATTGTGGATATATTTTGTTCGAAGTATCCATGGAATATCCAACAGGCAATTGACTTTTTAGTCTGGTCTTGGCTGCAAAAAGAAAAGGTAAAAACAAAGTATTGGGGACGAATTGCAATGTAGGAAATGGTAAAATAATAGGATACTGTGGCAGACAGTTTTTAAGGTGAATTCTGTGGTCCTTGCCTTCTGGTATTCATGTCCTTGGGTACTACTCTCCCCTTGAGTATGGGCAAGTCCTGTGACTTGCTTCCAACCAAAGGTGACTGGATGCATATGATTACATTACACAAGATTGTTACATAAAATTGTAATTCCCAATCTTGCTAAGAGACTCTTCCTGGATTTGAAAAAGTTTTCAGACTGGGAGAATTTCTGGCCTACATAGCCAAAAATTGAGGGCAGTCTCTGACCAGCAAAAAAACTGAGAACATGAGTTTCACATACTGTAGAGAACTGAATTCTACCCATAATCACGTGAGCTTGGAAGCAAATCCTCCAGTGAAGCCTCAGATGAGACGATAGATCTGGCCAACATCTTGAGTACAGCTTTTTGAGATCATAAAGTAGAAGGCACAGCTAAGCTGTGCTCAGACTCCTGACCCACAGAAACTCTGAGATAACAATTGTGTGCTGTTTTAAGTTGCTAAGTGTGTGGTAATATTATTATGTAGCAATGGATAACTAATACTGCAACAATAAAAGAGAATGATAAAGAGTTTGTATGAGGTAGAGTGAAAACAAGTGTGGTGTTCCAAATGTCAAAGGAGGAGAGGATATCAAGATGAAAAAAAAAATAGTGAACTATGTTACAAATCACACAGTGCACCCAAGTAAGATAAGCCTATGTGGTATCAAGAGGGAATAAGAAATATTAATTTAAAAAATGAACATTAGCAAGGAACAGTATTATTAATGTGGTTTGGGAAAAAGCCAGAAGAGAATATGTTGAAAGTCAGAAAGTACAAATGGTATAAAGACCAAGTCAAATGATTATTTTTATAGTGTTTTCTCAACCCTTGGCCTTATTTACAGCTAAGATTGCAAGTGATTAATTTTAGGCCAGTTGCATTCAAATAATACCGTTCCAGCTAATTTTATGTAAATATTTAAAACTATCACAAATGTTATATTTTATTATATTTAGATATTATGTAATATTAAATAATTATTGTGAGATAAATGAAACAGTAATTATTACAGTAAATTATTACTGTAATATTTATTATAGCAAATATAACCAAATTGGTAAGATATTGAAAATGCAATTTCTAGCTGTGTTTATACATCTAAACAACTTGATAAAAGTGAACAGATCACAACCCCTGATCATGGGGCATCATGTAAGAAGAGAGATAATGGTCATTTTATTGAATTAAATCACTGATATTGACCACATCAATTAATTGAGGGTTGCATTATGGAAAAAAATGGTCTGTGCTAGCAGGCCCAGGAGGCCCAGCATGAATAAAAATGCCAGATGATTATCTAAGTAATCAATTATTTCATAGATATCAACAATATGATTCTTTTTAAAATTATATTGTTAAGTTCTGGGATACATGTGCAGAACGTGCAGGTTTGTTACATAGGTATACACTTGCCATGGTGGTTTGCTGCACCCATCAACCCATCATCTATATTAGGTATTTCTCCTAATGCTATCCCTCCCCTAGCCCCCCACCCCCTAACAGGCCCCGGTATGTTCCCCTCCCTGTGTCCATGTGTTCTCATTGTTCAACTCCCACTTATGAGTGAGAACATGCGGTGTTTGGTTTTCTGTTCCTGTGTCAGTTTGCTGAGAATGACGGTTTCCAGCTTCATTCATGTTCCTGCAAAGGACATGAACTCATCCTTTTTTATGGCTGCATAGTATTCCATGGTGTACATGTGCCACATTTTCTTTATCCAGTCTGTCACTGATGGGCATTTGGGTTGGTTCCAAGTCTTTGCTATTGTGAGTAGTGCTGCAGTAAACATACATGTGCATGTGTCTTTATAGTAGAATGATTTATAATCCTTTGGGTATATGCCCAGTAATGGGATTGCTGCGTCAAATGCTATTTCTGGTTCTAGATCCTTGAGGAATTGCCACACTGTCTTCCAAGATGGTAGAACTAATATCCAGAATCTACAAGGAACTTAAACAAATTTACAAGAAAAAAACAAACAACCCCATTAAAAATTGGGTGAAGGATATGAACAGACACTTCTCAAAAGAAGACATTTATGCGGCCAACAAACATGAAAAAAAGCTCATCATCACTGGTCATTAGAGACATGCAAATCGACACCACAATGAGATACCATCTCATGCCAGTTAGAATGGCGATCATTAAAAAGTCAGGAAGCAACAGATGCTGGAGAGGATGTGGAGAAATACGAAAGCTTTCATAGGATTCATTTTTTAAAATCTTACTTTGGAATTGGAAAAATGCAATTAGGTAATACATAGTGAGATATAGTCATAAAGTAACAAAATTGCCAGTGTATATTGGCCCAGAACTAATAGAATATTAATGTAACTAAATGAAATATGAAATTGCATGAGGTAGTAACATGAATAATCAATTTTGAGGGAAATATAAACATTATTTGGAGGTTGAAAGGAGTTAATTATTATGATTAAATATGTATTGGATATTTGGAAGTCTGTATTTCACAATAGCACACTTATGGTTTCAGAGGGCTATCAGTTAACAATTGAAAATATCTGGATTTAGGGGGAGGAGCCAAGATGGCCGAATAGGAACAGCTCCAGTCTACAGCTCCCAGCGTGAGCGACGCAGAAGACGGGTGATTTCTGCATTTCCATCTGAGGTACCGGGTTCATCTCACTAGGGAGTGCCAGACAGTGGGCGCAGGCCAGTGGGTGTGCGCACCGTGCACGAGCCGAAGCAGGGCGAGGCACTGCCTCACCTGGGAAGCGCAAGGGGTCAGGGAGTTCCCTTTCCGAGTCAAAGAAAGGGGTGACGGACACACCTGGAAAATCGGGTCACTCCCACCAGAATATTGCGCTTTTCAGACCGGCTTAAAAAAACGGCGCACCACGAGACTATATCCCACACCTGGCTCGGAGGGTCCTACGCCCACGGAATCTTGCTGATTGCTAGCACAGCAGTCTGAGATCAAACTGCAAGGCGGCAGCGAGGCTGGGGGAGTGGCGCCCGCCATTGCCCAGGCTTGCTTAGGTAAACAAAGCAGCCGGGAAGCTCGAACTGGGTGGAGCCCACCACAGTTCAAGGAGGCCTGCCTGCCTCTGTAGGCTCCACCTCTGCGGGCAGGGCACAGACAAACAAAAAGACAGCAGTAACCTCTGCAGACTTAAATGTCCCTGTCTGACAGCTTTGAAGAGAGCAGTGGTTCTCCCAGCACGTAGCTAGAGATCTGAGAACGGGCAGACTGCCTCCTCAAGTGGGTCCCTGACCCCTGACCCCCGAGCAGCCTAACTGGGAGGCACCCCCCAGCAGGGGCACACTGACACCTCACACTGCAGGGTATTCCAACAGACCTGCAGCTGAGGGTCCTGTCTGTTAGAAGGAAAACTAACAAACAGAAAGGACATCCACACCGAACACCCATCTGTACATCACCATCATCAAAGACCAAAAGTAGATAAAACCACAAAGATGGGGAAAAAACAGAACAGAAAAACTGGAAACTCTAAAACGCAGAGCGCCTCTCCTCCTCCAAAGGAACGCAGTTCCTCACCAGCAACGGAACAAAGCTGGATGGAGAATGATTTTGACGAGCTGAGAGAAGAAGGCTTCAGACGATCAAATTACTCTGAGCTACGGGAGGGCATTCAAACCAAAGGCAAAGAAGTTGAAAACTTTGAAAAAAATTTAGAAGAATGTATAACTAGAATAACCAATACAGAGAAGTGCTTAAAGGAGCTGATGGAGCTGAAAACCAAGGCTCGAGAAGTACGTGAAGAATGCAGAAGCCTCAGGAGCCGATGCGATCAACTAGAAGAAAGGGTATCAGCAATGGAAGATGAAATGAATGAAATGAAGCGAGAAGGGAAGTTTAGAGAAAAAAGAATAAAAAGAAATGAACAAAGCCTCCAAGAAATATGGGACTATGTGAAAAGACCAAATCTACGTCTGATTGGTGTACCTGAAAGTGATGCGGAGAATGGAACCAAGTTGGAAAACACTCTGCACGATATTATCCAGGAGAACTTCCCCAATCTAGCAAGGCAGGCCAACGTTCAGATTCAGGAAATACAGAGAACGCCACAAAGATACTCCTCGAGAAGAGCAACTCCAAGACACATAATTGTCAAATTCACCAAAGTTGAAATGAAGGAAAAAATGTTAAGGGCAGCCAGAGAGAAAGGTCGGGTTACCCTCAAAGGGAAGCCCATCAGACTAACAGCGGCTCTCTCGGCAGAAACCCTACAAGCCAGAAGAGAGTGGGGGCCAATATTCAACATTCTTAAGGAAAAGAATTTTCAACCCAGAATTTCATATCCAGCCAAACTAAGCTTCATAAGTGAAGGAGAAATAAAATACTTTACAGACAAGCAAATGCTGAGAGATGTTGTCACCACCAAGCCAGCCCTAAAAGAGCTCCTGAAGGAAGCGCTAAACATGGAAAGGAACAACCGGTACCAGCCGCTGCAAAATCATGCCAAAATGTAAAGACCATTGAGACTAGGAAGAAACTGCATCAACTAACGAGCAAAATCACCAGCTAACATCATAATGACAGGATCAAATTCACACATAACAATATTAACTTTAAATGTAAATGGACTAAATGCTCCAATTAAAAGACACAGACTGGCAAGTTGGATAAAGAGTCAAGACCCATCAGTGTGCTGTATTCAGGAAACCCATCTCACGTGCAGAGACACACATAGGCTCAAAATAAAAGGATGGAGGAAGATCTACCAAGCAAATGGAAAACAAAAGAAGGCAGGGGTTGCAATCCTAGTCTCTGATAAAACAGACTTCAAACCAACAAAGATCAAAACAGACAAAGAAGGCCATTACATAATGGTAAAGGGATCAATTCAACAAGAGGAGCTAACTATCCTAAATATATATGCACCCAATACAGGAGCACCCAGATTCATAAAGCAAGTCCTGAGTGACCTACAAAGAGACTTAGACTCCCACACATTAATAATGGGAGACTTTAACACCCCACTGTCAACATTAGACAGATCAACGAGACAGAAAGTCAACAAGGATACCCAGGAATTGAACTCAGCTCTGCACCAAGCAGACCTAATAGACATCTACAGAACTCTCCACCCCAAATCAACAGAATATACATTTTTTTCAGCACCACACCACACCTATTCCAAAATTGACCACATAGTTGGAAGTAAAACTCTCCTCAGCAAATGTAAAAGAACAGAAATTATACCAAACTATCTCTCAGACCACAGTGCGATCAAACTAGAACTCAGGATTAAGAATCTCACTCAAAGCCGCTCAACTACATGGAAACTGAACAACCTGCTCCTGAATGACTACTGGGTACATAACGAAATGAAGGCAGAAATAAAGATGTTCTTTGAAACCAACAAGAACAAAGACACAACATACCAGAATCTCTGGGACGCATTCAAAGCAGTGTGTAGAGGGAAATTTATAGCACTAAATGCCCACAAGAGAAAGCAGGAAAGATCCAAAATTGACACCCTAACATCACAATTAAAAGAACTAGAAAAGCAAGAGCAAACACATTCAAAAGCTAGCAGAAGGCAAGAAATAACTAAAATCAGAGCAGAACTGAAGGAAATAGAGACACAAAAAACCCTTCAAAAAATCAATGAATCTAGGAGCTGGTTTTTTGAGAGGATCAACAAAATTGATAGACCACTAGCAAGACTAATAAAGAAAAAAAGAGAGAAGAATCAAATAGACACAATAAAAAATGATAAAGGGGACATCACCACCGATACCACAGAAATACAAACTACCATCAGAGAATACTACAAACACCTCTACACAAATAAACTAGAAAATCTAGAAGAAATGGATACATTCCTCGACACATACACTCTCCCAAGACTAAACCAGGAAGAAGTTGAATCTCTGAATAGACCAATAACAGGAGCTGAAATTGTGGCAATAATCAATAGTTTACCAACCAAAAAGAGTCCAGGACCAGATGGATTCACAGCCGAATTCTACCAGAGGTACAAGGAGGAACTGGTACCATTCCTTCTGAAACTATTCCAATCAATAGAAAAAGAGGGAATCCTCCCTAACTCATTTTATGAGGCCAGCATCATCCTGATACCAAAGCCGGGCAGAGACACAACCAAAAAAGAGAATTTTAGACCAATATCCTTGATGAACATTGATGCAAAACTCCTCAATAAAATACTGGCAAACCGAATCCAGCAGCACATCAAAAAGCTTATCCACCATGATCAAGTGGGCTTCATCCCTGGGATGCAAGGCTGGTTCAATATACGCAAATCAATAAATGTAATCCAGCATATAAACAGAGCCAAAGACAAAAACCACATGATTATCTCAATAGATGCAGAAAAGGCCTTTGACAAAATTCAACAACCCTTCATGCTAAAAACTCTCAATAAATTAGGTATTGATGGGACGTATTTCAAAATAATAAGAGCTATCTATGACAAACCCACAGCCAATATCATACTGAATGGGCAAAAACTGGAAGCATTCCCTTTGAAAACTGGCACAAGACAGGGATGCCCTCTCTCACCGCTCCTATTCAACATAGTGTTGGAAGTTCTGGCCAGGGCAATCATGCAGGAGAAGGAAATAAAAGGTATTCAATTAGGAAAAGAGGAAGTCAAATTGTCCCTGTTTGCAGACGACATGATTGTTTATCTAGAAAACCCCATCATCTCAGCCCAAAATCTCCTTAAGCTGATAAGCAACTTCAGCAAAGTCTCAGGATACAAAATCAATGTACAAAAATCACAAGCATTCTTATACACCAACAACAGACAAACAGAGAGCCAAATCATGAGTGAACTCCCATTCACAATTGCTTCAAAGAGAATAAAATACCTAGGAATCCAACTTACAAGGGATGTGAAGGACCTCTTTGAGGAGAACTACAAACCACTGCTCAAGGAAATAAAAGAGGATACAAACAAATGGAAGAACATTCCATGCTCATGGGTAGGAAGAATCAATATCGTGAAAATGGCCCTACTGCCCAAGGTAATTTACAGATTCAATGCCATCCCCATCAAGCTACCAATGACTTTCTTCACAGAATTGGAAAAAACTGCTTTAAAGTTCACATGGAACCAAAAAAGAGCCCGCATCGCCAAGTCAATCCTAAGCCAAAAGAACAAAGCTGGAGGCATCACACTACCTGACTTCAAACTATACTACAAGGCTACAGTAACCAAAACAGCATGGTACTGGTACCAAAACAGAGATATAGATCAATGGAACAGAACAGAGCCCTCAGAAATTTTTGCAATCTACTCATCTGACAAAGGGCTAATATCCAGAATCTACAATGAACTCAAACAAATTTACAAGAAAAAAACAAACAACCCCATCAAAAAGTGGGCGAAGGACATGAACAGACACTTCTCAAAAGAAGACATTTATGCAGCCAAAAAACACATGAAAAAATGCTCATCATCACTGGCCATCAGAGAAATGCAAATCAAAACCACTATGAGATATCATCTCACACCAGTTAGAATGGCAATCATTAAAAAGTCAGGAAACAACAGGTGCTGGAGAGGATGTGGAGAAATAGGAACACTTTTACACTGTTGGTGGGACTGTAAACTAGTTCAACCATTGTGGAAGTCAGTGTGGCGATTCCTCAGGGATGTAGAACTAGAAATACCATTTGACCCAGCCATCCCATTACTGGGTATATACCCAAATGACTATAAATCATGCTGCTATAAAGACACATGCACACGTATGTTTATTGCGGCATTATTCACAATAGCAAAGACTTGGAACCAACCCAAATGTCCAACAATGATAGACTGGATTAAGAAAATGTGGCACATATACACCATGGAATACTATGCAGCCATAAAAAAGGATGAGTTCATGTCCTTTGTAGGGACATGGATGAGACTGGAAACCATCATTCTCAGTAAACTATCGCAAGAACAAAAAACCAAACACCGCATATTCTCACTCATAGGTGGGAACTGAACAATGAGATCACATGGACACAGGAAGGGGAATATCACACTCTGGGGACTGTGGTGGGGTGGGGGGAGGGGGGAGGGATAGCATTGGGAGATATACCTAATGCTAGATGACGAGTTAGTGGGTGCAGCGCACCAGCATGGCACATGTATACATATGTAACTAACCTGCACAATGTGCACATGTACCCTAAAACTTAAAGTATAATATAAAAAAAAAAAAAAAGTAGAAACAGGTGAGATTTATTATAATAAAACATTTTATTTAACCAGATAGAGCCGAAGTATGACCATTTCAATTCCTAGTCAATAGAAGAATAAATTGTTAAAGAGAAAAAAAAAAAAAAGAAAATATCTGGATTTATTATAAACTTTATTTGTTCTATTCATATCTTCAAAAGCAAGAAACACAAGAAAGAAAATGTCCTTGGAATTTCAATGGCTCTTTCTAAATATATTTGACTTCTTTCATCTAGAAAGCCATTCCTTTATACTAAAATTCATTGCAGACACAAAAAGATGGTAGGATTAAGGAATCCATAGAGATTGAGAGAAATAAGAATTTTCAAACAAGCATCTTCTAAAAAGTTGAATGACCTTTTGACATGGTATTTGCCAGCAATTTTTTCCCAGTAATATGGGAAGCTGAGAAATAGCAATAGCTTTGAAAACTTTCATTCTGCTTTTTAAAGCCTGCTCTGATGTTCAAGCAAATTAAATTTCTTTTTGGTGGTTTCTCTGCAGTCATTTTTCTTCATTGATAAAATATGTAAGACTTGAGCACTGGACATTAAATAGCATCCATTTATACAACGATGTTCCCATTATTCTTTTTGGTTTGCTGACATGCATTAAGGGAAGGGGGCTTTTTATTTCCTGCACTAAACTTGACTGTCACTTTTGAATAGTTCTATCTGTCCTTCTATGGTGTCTTATCTGATGTTTCTTTTAGATGGTATGTGAAGCATATTTGCATTTCATCCAGCTATAACATCAGAGAATAAGGGGTTTCACTGGGAAAATATGTATCACATAATTGCTTTTAAGATCAGAACACTAGAGACATGCAAAGACAAGGGCAGAAATAACTAGAAAACATGAAGACAATTTCCTGCAGATTGAGTTGGAGTAAATGATTCAACTGTACTGTTTCCTCCACAATGCCTGGTATGTGGGCTTGATTATAAGGCTGCTAATATGGTGGCCAATACATTTATGTGTCCAGTTTAAAGTCTAGAGTCTGGCTGAATGAAGGAACCTTGTTCGGATAGCCACATATAAGACTAGGATTAATTGGAGTTCAGTTTTGCAGGTATTTGTGCTTCAAAGTAATACATTTAAGTGATGATTCCTCTCATAAGTTCCAAAGCTGTAGTCCAACGGAGGCAGGCTAATCAGAATTGGTAGAAGTTATTCAGTTTCATACATGCTTATACTTCAAAGGCTATAAGCAACAGAGCTACTTGCTCTACAGTTTCTGAGAGTTCTGGTTAAGATAAAAGGCCAAGTTATATGTAGATAGGCACCACTTGCTAAATTCCGGGCACCAGCTACAGTCCTTGAACCTCATGAATCATAAAGATTGAGGCCCACTACCATTGACATTTCTTGAATGTTAAAATTGACTTCTTCTTAGTTAAGGCCATGTACTTCATAAAATGCTAACTAGGAATTTCACCAGCTTCCCAAGTCATCATGGCCTGGGCTCTAGGTTTTGATGATGCAGAGGTAAAGCCCATTTGGGAAACAGGTACTTGTAAAGATTTTACAATATAAGAGGTACCTTGATTCTGTGGGCCACCCCAATAACTTACTGGAAGTTAAAAAGATTAATTTCAAATTGGAAGCTCTTCAAGCCTTTTATCTGTGCCCTTTTGATAGAAACAGCATAGATTAATAATTAAGGGGAATACGGATAGTGTTTCCCATTTGGTCAGAATGAATGATATGCAAAATGTACCTAGGACTAGCTTGATTAATTAGGAGAAATACTACTTCTTAGTTCAGACTAGCAGTCTAATTTAATCCAAAACAAACACTATAGAAGTTTGTCTGAAATGACCCTCTTCACCTCACGTTCTCCTCCAAGCATACATACCTGAGCTCATTCATGAACACATGGTCACACACACGCACACACAGAACCAGACATACATCCTAGAATTATTTTCAATTTAGCAGAGAATCTACCCTGCATAAATTCAGCTTAACTTCACAATTACTAAAAGGTTTGTGTCGTATACAATTTGCTCAATGAACTGGAAAGAATGTTAGTATTTCAAATTTAAAATAACTGAATTTAGTGAATAATTTCAGTGAATTATGCCAGCTCTATGCCAGTAAGAAAAAAAAGGAAGAATTAAATATAGAAAATGAAAACCAGCTGACATACTTTAAAACTTCATGGGCTATAAGACACAAGGAATAAAAATATATGCATTTCTGTTACCAAGATTTTAATAAAACTGCAAAAAAACTTTACAAAGATCCTTAAGTAGTTGTGAAAGTAGTTTTTATTTTTTGTCTTCTGATTAAAAATGAAAATAAAAATAAAACACCTTATGTTGTCACAGGAAAGTTTATCTTCAATTTTTTTCCTGGCATTGGGCTGCTGCTTTTACAGGGAGTCAACACAGATACATATAAACAGGATGGAGTGATCGTTATATTATCAACATAACACATTACTCACTGTGTTCCCTGTGATTGGCTGACTTCTCTGTAGTCTCCAATCTATGCTACGTATTTTGGGCAGAAAGACCTATCAGAAGAATTAGTCACAGAAAATTAAACAGGACTAATAAGTACTGTGGATATTTATGTAAGGCCCAGGATATTGTCTGAAAATGAAAAAAAAAAAAGAAGGAAAGAGTGGAAGAACAATAGAATGAAGGAGAGAAATTCTCTTGTCTTGTTTTTATCCTGGTATTTCTGTATCACTGGAGAATGCTGCAGCTTAAATTTAAAGAAGAAGCATGGAGAAGAAGAGATACACAATTGATAGCTGTATTTACCATCATCTTAGTTTGGGTTCCTCCAAATGTGGACTCTTTGACAAGGATTTTGGTACAAGTGGTTTATTTGAGAGGTGATTTCAGAAAATATGGCATCAAAGTGGGAAAGTGAAACCAAGAAGGTAGTAAGGAATCTAAAGGGTGCATTAGTGATCAGGTTAAATCCATGGGAGAATAAACCTTCGAATTTCTACACTGAGGGGTCAGGGAGCTGGGACATAAACCCGCCGACTCCCATTCCTGATTGGTTGAAGATTGCATCTGGAGCATTCACTCTCCCTCATGGCATTTCTGGACTCTTATATCCAGAGAATAGGCAGAGGAATCCATAGACATGAATGGGAACTAAAGGTGACCTCAACAGCTTCTGCTATAACTATGTAATTTTCTTCTCAAAATTTTAAAAAGTTTTGCACTTTAAGGTGTATCTATGTCCTAGGACTGATTCCAAATTATGAATTTATTTCAAAATCACTATTATAAATCTTCATCAGGTAGAATGATTTCATTATAATCCAGTAGAATGTGGTCTCTATGAAGGTAGAAATTTTTAGCTTTTTTTCCCACTTCTTGTGTCACCCAACCCTTAGAACATTTCCTAGTTCATATTAATTGCACAGTAAATATTTGTCAGTGAATGAATGAATGTCTTCACAGAAAACAACAAAGCCAAAACCAAAATAGCTTAAACATGAAAATGTGTTGTCTCATAACACATAAGCAGTCTTCAGAGTTGGCAATTGTGTTCCTTTGCTCACAGATTCTCTTTGCTCTTTTCTCTACTGGTGGCTGGCTTCATTCATAGACTAGGAGCAAGATGGCTTACTCAAATTCAGACCCCATATCAAAAAAGGAACAGAGAAAAAAGAAAGGGGAGAGCTGCTTCTAAAATGCATAAATAAATAAATGAATAATAATTTCAGCCCTGATGTGGTGGCTCTGGTGACTGAGGCAGGAGGATTGCTTGAGGCCAGGATTTTGAGACCAGCCTGAGCAACATAGGGAGACCTTATATCTAAAGAAATATATATGTATAAAAAAATAGGCAGAAGTGATGACAGGAGCCTGTAGTCCCACTTACTGAGACAGGAGCACAGGAGTTTAAGGTTGCAGTGAGCTATGATTGTGCCACTGCACTTGAGCCTGGGTGACAAAGTGAGACTGTCTGTTAAAAAAAAAAATCAAAAGAATATAGAAGAGCTTTCCCAGAACCCCTGAGCAAAACCTTCCTTTGTGTCTCAATGTTCTAAATCACATTACACATCTATTTCTGAAACTAGCACTGGCAAAGAAGATGGGGTTACTCTTTCACCTATTGGGATGTAAATCTCTGAAAAAAAAAATAAAAGAAACCTTTGGTGTTTATTATTATTTATTTGTAGCCCTCATTCTAATTTCTAGGGGGTAAGTTTAGATAATTTGCCATCATTTCACAATGCAGCACATATATCTATAAATGCATGCTGGAGATGGACTTTTTTGCCATATGGAAAAGTGAAAATGGACTGAAAACAACTATCTTTCCCTTGACAAGTTAATTAAGCCTCCTGATCAGTCACAGTCATTTGAA
Organism: Homo sapiens; assembly: GCF_000001405.40. Classification (NCBI taxonomy): domain Eukaryota; kingdom Metazoa; phylum Chordata; class Mammalia; order Primates; family Hominidae; genus Homo; species Homo sapiens. The sequence goes on along the minus strand of NC_000023.11, from coordinate 34,243,914 downwards.
CAGCATGGTTGCTGGAATGAGAATTAGTAGGATAGCATGATGGACAAATGGGACACATTTTGTAGAAGGAAATACCTTTGACAAATACATAAATGTTATGGAGATATGATAAAAGGAAAGCCATGTTTTAAAACAGAAAAGGCAACTTAGTTATTAGGCAATGGGGCAGATATCAAGGAAATTTATTCAAAAATTCAAGAAATGGAACTGTGTGCTTGATATATTAATACTGTTCCACCCAATACATTATGATATATTATTTTATATCTATTTTCCCACTTGACTACAAATTTCTTGAGAGTAGATTGTTTTATCTTTTTCATTAGGCCCAATTACATTGTCATACAGATGTTTGTTGCATTAAATTAAATGAAATAATTTACTTTTATAAGCCACAGGCTAAATTACTTTATAGGATTCCACAATTTTTCAAAATTGTTTTAAAAGTTTAGCTACTGGTAATGACTAACATTAATATTTCCCTAATAGTTCTCACTATTTATCTTCATAAATTGTTTTTCTAGCTAATGAAATTGTGGAAGATGGAAGTGTTTTGTATTTTCCTAAGTTCATGTTTTACATATTTTGGCCTACAATAAATTAACTTATCATCCATATTTATTTCACAGATAAATATTATAATATTATGGGTAGAAAAGGTTGATTTTATAGCCATTTTCATACATTTCACAAACTAAAACTCAAGAGCAGACGACCTGATTTCTTCCATACTTATCCATACACATATAAATTTTACTAGGTTGCAAGACCTTTAATAAACACTTGTTTTCTGTTTTTAAGAACTAAACATTTTGTCCTAGAAATGTCAATATTGTTATGTAGTTTTGTAATAATCATTTAAAATGCCTGCATATAATGTAAAGGAAATGCTATACTATGATTTAAATAACTACTTCCTCACTTTTGTATATTTACTGTTTTCTCTCCAAGTTTTTGTGACCATATCAATATCCCAACATACATGTTCTCACAAGGTATACATTTTCCACAGAGTATATTTCTTGATATGAATTTATTGTATGAGTGACTGCATGGGTGCACATTCTTTTAGAATGATCTTGTCATTTCTGACTGGGGGCTGAGGAGTGGTTAAACCTCCTAGATACATGATCTTGGGTTAGAATTACTTAGAAGATACCTTGGTCTCAGTTTCCCCACCTCTTGAAAAGAATAACGGATTCTGAGCTTTCTTGTGAGGGGATCCTTTGGTTGCAAAAACAAAACAAAACAAAACTCCAGAAAATCACTGGAGTTAATTTGAAGGAAAAAATAAAGGAAATTTCAGGAAAAGCAAAGCGGCAAACAGCCTTACCTGAAACTCAACACAAAATATGAAAAGTCTTCCGTGACCAAGGTCGCTTCACCTTAACATCTCCTGTTTGCTTTATGGATTTTCCTTTTCTTTTTCTG